>NC_000012.12:72460128-72611643 GCF_000001405.40 Homo sapiens | reverse complement strand
ACTCCAATTATTAATAACTTACCCTCACCCTCACCCCTAGCTTTGTTAGAGTGAAGGTTCATGAAATGAAGGAGCTTGGTTAGAAGAGAAAGTTTTTATGGCCAGTAGAAGTTGAAAGTGCAAAAAGGTCAAGAGGGCTGTCTTTTCAAATCATTACTGATCAAAATGTGATATAATTTGTTCAGAATTCACCCTCTGGTGCTTCTCTTTAATGGTATTCTCTTTAAATGGGTTATTTTCTTGCTAGGAAAAAATAAAAAAAGTTCTACCTCTGGAATTAATGTTGAAGGAGATTTGCTTGTTCCAGAAGTTGATATTATGATCTCTTCTCAAGCATGTTCTGTTTGGCATAATGAACACAGCACACTTACACGCTGGCTAGTGCAAAGCCACTGAGGGTCTGGTGTGTGCTCTGGTGATAACACTGAAGAATTTTGGCCTGCAGATCAGCACAGACAGGACAAAACTCATGTCACTGAACTTTGCTGCCCTCTCTTTGGCAGCTTTCTGATATTGCTCAGTGGTGACTTTGTGGAATTCAGCTCCTCTCCTCCAGTCTAGCCAGCTGCTCCTTTTAAAATGCATCCTGCTGCTTTGCCACTAAGTCTTTCTCTTCCAGGTGCTCAGCCAGGTGTTTTGCCTTACAGCCTTCCTCCTCATTTGATAGCCTCTCTGAAGCAAAGCTCATTGGCAGTGGCCCTCTCTTGGTTGGTCCAGTTCTTTACCTTGCTTTAATCATTTCTGATTTTCAGAATCTTCTTTTGGGCATGCTCCAATGCCAGTTCCTCAGGTACTCTTCTTTTTAAATCTTCATGAAAAAACTGATGCACCATAAACAGCAGAATACTGCTGTGACATTAAATCAGATGATGGGAGTTGCTTTCTCCCATCAATTATATTTTCTGAAAGTCGGATGCCCTGCACCATGGTGATGTTCTCATTCTCATGTGCTTAGAAGGTGACTCTGTGGGGGCAGGCAATCCACCTGTGGTTCCTGCTTCTGCCCCTGCAGAGACCTAGCGCAGACCCAGGTGCACACACACACACACGCAGGCACCCGAACTGTTTGCTGCACAGTGGGAGCTCAGATTGTTTTTCTATATGTGATGGAAAGCCACCGCAAGTTTTTGAGCTGGGAAATGACACGATCTGATTTACGCTTTAAAAGGGTGACTCTGGCTGCTACGGAGAGCAAACTCAAATGTGCCACGTGGTCTTTCAAGATGAGAAGGATGTGAAATATGATTTCCCAGTTGATCTTCTCTCACTACACGGACTATGCTTACATGAGAAAAATATAAACCTAGTGAGTGAAATGAATGACATAAAAACAGAGAAGGTAAGTTTTAAAGACAGACTATGCATGATGTTTGTTTTAGAAAGTTTCTTATGAAGATATCAGAAAAAATTATTACAAAAGCTTATCCACACGTTTTTTATTGTTTAAATGTCAGAAGCAGCATTAGAAAACATAGGGAAGGTCACGGATAAATAATTTCAATAATGAATTCATTTTAAAAGAATATATACTTTATGTACAGGAAGGTGTATATTCCACTTTGGGTTAATTAGCAGAATTAGCCTAGAATTGAAATACAGACTACTGCCTGAAATGAATAAAAAATAAATAATCCACAGAGTTTATGATTTCCATGGAAAATACAACTCTTAAAGGTAGTATGGAATTCTGCTTATTGAGCAGTGAAGTTTTTTAGTGCTCTAAAGGGGCCACATGGGAGTACAAAGAATAAAAAATTCCAACAGGATTTTTCAGAGGTTGAGTCTACTGCCATCAGGACATCCAATCATTAACCTAAAGGTCCATAAATCAGTGAAGCTTCTAACTTCCTATATGGCTGATTTTTGGAGAAATATGTGAATAACAGGAAACTAGAAAAGAGTAAAAACATCACTCAAACCAAACAACTTAAAAAGAACTGACTATGTCTTCTCTAGTCTAATGTTTATGTCAAAAGTTTTGCCTTTTCTATATTATACACAGAAGTTTATATATTTAACTTATTGTGGAGGGAGGGAGGAGGTTGAAGTTTGAAAAACAACCTATTGGGTACTATGCTTATTACCAGCGTGACAAAATAATCTGTAAAACAAATCTCTATGACTTGCAATTTACCTATATGACAAACTTGCACATGTTCCCCCGAAACTAAAATAAAAGATAAAAAAATAAAGAAAGAAAAGAGCAGGAAATAAAATCAGTACTCAAAAAATTTTTTGCATGTTATTCAAATTCTTCATAATTACCTTCGGATTGGTTCTAATAATATTTTGTTGAGAAGATAAGTGTAGTTCACTATTGTTAAATATTGTGGTTATATACATGTTTTATATCATAAATAATAGGACTATGAACATCCTTGTACATAATGCTTTTACATGTTCGGAATGATTTTCTTTGGATAGAATACCCAAATTAGAATTATTAAGCTAAACATGTGTTTCTTGGAAAATCTCTGAGTACATGTTTTTAGTCTTTGTAAAGCAACAAACGATGCCAGACAAAGGAGCAGAGAGCCTTATGTAGATCAGACAGGCACTGTGATAGCCAACATTGCTTTAGGGTTCCTTGTATGTCAGTCCCTGTGCTAATGCTTTGCATACACTATGTGACTAAATCCTTTAAACAATCTTCTCAGGTTGGCAGTATTACCATCCCCATTCTACAGATCAAAATTGAGGCTCAAAAAAGTTTTCTAACCCCCCCAGGTTCATATTGCAAATAAGGGTAGAGCTGGAATTTGAACCCAGTCCTCCTACACCACACCCATGATATTCTTGCCACCATTCTAAAAAGAACTGGGGATAATTGTTTATTCTCTTTACCATGTTCTAGTAAAAGAAAATATGGGAGAAAATTATAGGGGATATGAAGTGAGAGTAATCCATGGCCTTATGAGAAAAGCATAACAATAAATGGGGATGGAGGGAGAAGTTTGGTTCATGGCTGACATTAAAATGGAGGTCTTAGTGAACTCATTGTAAATACTCCTTTTAGCCTTTGGCCATTTTTTGGCCACATTAGCCAAAGCCATGTTCTTAACCACTGATCCCATTCCCTGGATTCCTTTAGCATTTCATCCAATCTACATAAATCAGAGAACACTCTTAGCTCAGACTCTGGCCTACAGAGGCTGTTTCAGTTAGCAGTACTATACCTACCATCAACAGCGTGCATTACAATAACACTTTGCTTTCAGAAGTATTGTTGACACAGGTAAACAAATAGATTACCAGGATGTGGTCCCAAAAAGAAAAGGGGAGGTAATGATATAAAGTATCTTTAATTTACATGAGAAAAAATGCTTCAAACAAAGAAATACTTTCCATCTCAACGTTGTATAGGAAAGGCAAGAATTAAGGCTCTGGAAAGTGGTTTGGGGTTCTATACCTTGCCTGAGAAGGAAAGCGTGAAGGACTCAAATAATGGCATATGGCGCATGGGAGTAATTGCTTCCTCTACATAACTGTAGGGCTGAATTTTGGGCCTGAAATGAAACCCAGAGATAGCCCATCTCAATTAAATATCTCAAAAATAAATCTCAAAACCAAGTACAGCTCTAGTTCATACATGCAGGTATCAATACATATATGAGGCCTTTATAATTATCTAAATGTAGAGCTAAAGTTGAAATTTTAGACTGATGCAAAGTTTAATAATTAAGCAGGAAGACAATACAACACTCCAAAAAGTGGAACATTTTTGAAGGAAAAATAGAAATACTTTTGAGAGTGTATTCTAGTGATGCTAAAGGGAATGATGGCTTTAAAAAGAGGAAAGGCTTGGAAAGGCTTTAAAAGAGCAGCCAAAAAAGACAGAGGGACTCTACCAAGAGCAAAGCGATAGCAACACATTTAATCTGTGCTCTAAAACCAACTTAAAGAACCTCCTGGCCAAAGTTAGACCATTTTTGAGTGTCATTAAGAATAAAAACTGCTATGACTTGAAACCTATCTGATAGACTTAAATTCATAAGGTCAAAATGATACTTAAAGACAAAACCAAACAAAATAATTGGTCACTATGGAGCATGCTAGAGAACTGGCTCATTAGTTTTGAAACTGAAAAATAAAGAAAACCATCAAGGATTTATTCTGACTTTTTAAAAAAAACTGTATCACTGGTTGCCAAATAGTAAACAACAGCAAGTTTCTCTTTGAAAAACTATTCCATTTTCACATAAAAAAAATCAATGAAGGAAACAGCATTTTGCAACATCCAGTGAATTAAAGATTCAGACATTGAACAGCAACAGTTGTGAATATCATAAAAAGAGATACAATTATTTATGCTATGTGTGCATACAGAATCAACTCTGAAGTAATCTTGCCAAAAATTTAAACCTGTACTGGATCAAGCCTCTAGATTCAGTTACCGATTTACAGGGAAAAGAGGGGACAGAGGAACACATAAAAGTGCACAGTGCGGATGCAATTAGCAAAATCCAGACTGTGGAAAGTTGAGTAGGACAAACAACCTTCCTCACTAAATTGTTGGGAAGGAAATTTTTTTTAATTAAAATGAAAAATAAATAGTTTTAAAAGACTTGAAAAGATATTAACTACTCACTGAGCAGTAAAATCATTTAGATCCTAATTTAAGCAAACTGTGAAAAGAATATGGCATTTATGAAACCATTGGAAATTTGAACGCTTCCTGGATAGTTGATATTATTAAAGGGATGTTAATTTTTAGATGGTCATGTTTAATAATAATTATTATTAGAGATACACAGTGAAATTATTTAAATAAATTAATTTGAAGTGTGGAATTTGCTTCAAAATAGTATAAAAGGTTGGATGGGGACATGGATGAAATAAGACTGACCATGAGTAAACAATTGTTGATGCAAAATGACTGATACAGCAGTTTCATTACACTCTTTTTCCAGTGTGTGTGCATATTTGAAATTCTTCACAATAAATAGTTAAAAAACAAAGTAGGGTCTAAATCTTATTTATCTCTGTATCCCCAGTATGTATCATAAAGCCTTCCTATGGCATATGCTTAAGAATATTTGCTGAATAACAAACTTCAAGAAAGGTGACCATTTTAGTCTCAGTTTCTTCCTTTATAAAATGGGGGAAACAGTATTTCCTTTCCAGCGTCATCGTGAGTTAAAAGACAAGAAATGGAAGAGTATTTCGTAAACTGTAAAGTGCCACACAAAGGTGGCAGCCTTAAGACTGAAGAACCAGAACTAGAATTCAGCATCACGTGCCATGCATCTATATTCTGACCTTGATTTGTTCCCTACATTGAGCTAATAAACTCATGTACAGATCCCAGCACATTCATTTTCCCCTTAGGGACAAAGTACCAAATGGTAGTGTAATTGCCAAGGGAAAATTATTACTCTGTTCTGAGTTATTTCCATCATAAATCCGAAACCAGTCAAACAGTCTCTGTCACAAAAATGACAGGGTTGCTGTACAGTGATGAGAATCCCACATACAAGTGCCCCATAAATTCGTGAGTATCACAACCCTCCAAAGTCATTCTGAATCATGTGTTTAAATCAGAAGTGGGAAGTCAGACTGGCAGCATGTTGGTCAACACTGTGGAAACAATGAAAATGAAGTGATTTACTCAGCCATCAGTTAGAGAAATATCCTATCATCTGTCTCATGTAGATTGTACAACATAAGAAGGACATTTTGTTTGTCTTTAAACATTTATCTATTGTATCCAAGGAAAAAAGGCTTTTTTCATTTAGTAACAATAATAAACAGTCATCCATATTTCTTACATTGAATTACAGCTGCAAAAAGATATTAGAGCTCGTCAAAGAAACTATTTCAAGCAATAATGAATAATAGAAAATGGATAGAGAAGGACACACCTTCTATGTGTGTCATGCATTTTCACCTTCTCTCATCTTAGTAAAATATTCATTTTTACTTACAGAGAAATGAAATATCTAATCTAATTCTTTATGATTTAAAGTGATCTTTTCCTGCCTCTCAGAATATTATGCTGTATTCCAAATTAGAGTTAAAATCCCTCAATGCTATTGCAGATGAAGTGTGGAAAGAAAAAATATGTTTCATTACCAGTGAGATAGAAAAAGGACTTCAAATACACAATTCTTTGTATAGAAAACACTTTAGTATCCTCTAAAATACAGTTGTGTCCACTTGAAACCATCTTTCAGGAAGCAGGAATATTAGATTTTTGGTACTTTGCTCTCCCTCATAAGGGTGCTAAATAGTAACTGAAAGAAATAAAGGGCAAAGCTAAAAAAATACATTGAGTCGCAAGGAGTATAATGTAAATGGTGACATAGAAATAATGCTAACAGCTTATTTTAAAATTTGAACCTACAAAGAGTTTCAGAATTATTTAAGGAAATTTTTAATACTTAGAATTAAAATACTCTGAAAGCGTTTTGAAATCATCTAACACCTATATATTATAATAACTGATACTTTTTGTCCTTTGGGACATTAACTTATAGTTTATAAAACATCCAGGGACAGAGGTATTATAGGGAAGATAGTTGCTTCTAATAGCTACCTACTTATCAAATTTCTCAATTTTAGTTGCAACTTCCAGTGTCACAAAATTCAAAATACACTATTCATCTAGAAATATTTAATTACTCTTGGATCTGCAGCTCAGAAATATGACTGTAACTTTCCCTTGATTTTCTTTAATGGTGATAATGTTCAAATAAAACGTAGAAAAAGTAATGATAATGATGTTCTAACTCCTTAATGATGATTAACAATTAGAAGACATTAATGGTATAGATTTACCATGTTCTAATAGTGACACTCATTAATTTTAATAACAGTCTCATAGTTAAGTTCATGCTTACTGTCTGAAAATTTACCCCTCATTAACACTTGTAAGAAGTAATTTTCTAAAGTTGAAGCATCAATGAAAATACAAAATAACAGCAGAAAAGTGCTAGTTAATTCAGAACAAGTATATTAATATTATTCCAAAATGTGAGTGCAAAATAAAGTGACAAAATAAGAATTATATTAGTTTAAGAATATTTTATATTTTGTTAAAATGATCACATATAGTTCAACAATATTGAAAGAATTAGAAATTTCTCTTCAGTAAGAGAACCACTGATACAAGAAGAAAATTCTGGAATCTTAATAAGAGTCATTGTTGTTATTATTTAATATACAATGCTAACAATAATAATTTTCTCAAGAATCACATGTTTAATATTAAGAAGCAGAAACCTAAGAGAAAAGATGATAAAGTGATAAAATCTTCTTCAAAATTGACAGTTTTAGATAAAATGACAGAAACTGGCACATCCCCTAGGACTAAAATGCCCTTTAAAAAAAAACTTAACACCTGCTGCTTGATTATTTCAAAGAGAATTTCATCTCAGTTAAGCTACCTTAAAATAATATTTTTTCCTACGGATTTGTCTGTAGTTTGTTTAATCTGTCTCTTCTGAGTCTCTGCTAAGAAAGATGAGGAAATAAGCACACTTACACTTTATACCACCTGTTTTTTATCCTCTCTGGACTTTTGTTAAATTACTTCTAAATTTTCCTAGTTTACAGATTTACCTTCTATTTTGTAACTTTCATTGTTCTTTTTTTTTATCTTTGATTCCAAGTGTAAGTAAATTCAAGACTCACCATATCCTTTAGCAGCCAAAGGATAACTTGATTACATACAATACTTTGTATTCTAGCCACTGGATTATTTTTGCTTGTAGAAATCTCAGTCTGCCTGAATTTTCTACTTTCCAGCTAACTTGCCTTGTTTAATCTTTAAAGCTCAGTTTAGTCACCAACATGTGTCTCAGTGTTAATCCCTTTGAGTGAGATTTCTTTCCTAAAACACAGGGTGCACTTCAATCTGTATACTTACATTGTTTTTTTGTTGTTGTTGTTGTTTTGTTTTGTTTTTTGTTTTTTGTTTTGAGACGGAGTCTCACTCTGTCGCCCAGGCTGGAGTGCAGTGGCGCAATCTCGGCTCACTGCAAGCTCCGCCTCCCCGTTTCTCGCCGTTCTCCTGCCTCAGCCTCCCTAGTAGCTGGGACTACAGGCGCCTGCCACCACGCCCGGCTAATTTTTTGTATTTTTAGTAGAGATGGGGTTTCACCATGTTAGCCAGGATGGTCTCGATCTCCTGACCTCGTGATCTGCCCGCCTAGGCCTCCCAAAGTGCTGGGATTACAGGCTTGAGACACCGCGCTCGGCCCACACTTACATTGTTATTATAAGAAAGTTTACTCTGCCTATATCTTCACACTTCTTTCCCTTTGCTTTCATAATTATCAAATACAGACACACGAGCACACCAACACACACCACACACACCCGCCAACACACAGGATACCTCTTGTTACATCACTTTCATTGCTTTTTCCATTTCATTTATGTCAACTATCTCCAGCTTACTTTCCATTTGCCTGACAATGATTTCTCCTGAATCTATAAAATTTTTTACTGCTTCTAACATGGCTTTCTTTCTTGCCATGCCAGATCACTTTCATTCTTTTTGTTTCCTTATCTCTTCTTTATTCTTTTGCATGTTTTCTTCAAACTCCCCTCAAAGAAGCCTTATTTCTTTATCTGAACTCTTTGAACTCACATAGATGGGTATATTTGAAGCTTTTGCTTGGTGTTATAGTTCTGTTGTTATGGCTATTGCTAACTATCCTTCTTTTGGTATTTTTCTACCATTCTAAGGATTTCAGTCTGGTTTATGTTTAAATACCATCCATAGTTGAAGGGGCAGGTCCTATCCAGTAGAAGTAGTTGCTGCTGGATTGTGGCTAAAGGGCAATTGTGGGGAATAGATTGAAAAGTAGCAGTTTACATTTAGAGTTGTTATTTCAGACATGGTTCTAATCAAATTAGTGGTTCCATATGTTTAGGGGCATATTTCTGCTCCACAGTCCCATTTCAGAATATGCTGGAGAGCTGTGTGATTCACAGTTCAACCCTGTATATTGCAGGTTCTCATTGTGGTGATTTAGAATTTAATTATTTTTTTCCAGCTGTCTCAATTAATGGTTGCCAAGCCAATTGCCATATATATTTCTTCTCCAGCCCACCACTTCTGCCCCCTGCTTCTTGCAAAAATGGTACTTTTGCATGTCTTCTCTTTCAGGCCTGAATTTGTTTCCTGCTCTTCCATGTGGAGAAAGATGTACCAGTGTAACCCACCATACCTCCAGATTTCATTATTCCAAATAAGGCAGTCCCTTCAGAGATGTGTCTTATTTTTGTAGAGTTCTCTGTCTTATAGAGGATCTGTAATTTTTTCATATTTTCTCAGAATCCTTCTGTATTTTCATCCACAATTCACAATATTTTTCAGTAGTTCTTTACTTTTAGTGTTTGGAGTTGTGTCTGTCTCTGTTTTTTTCTCTCCCTCTCACACACATACAAATGGAGTTTTCAACCCTGTGTTTTCTTTTTCCTTCCTTGCTGGGGTTGTTATTAGACATTGATGTTGGGAAATCAGGGAAATAGAAGTATGTGTATTTCTCTCCCTTCAACTAAGTGTCCTTAAAAATCAAAGCAGAACAAACAAAAAACGGTCCTTCAGAAGGATGTGTGGGGGCCAGCACTCTCATGAAGCTCTGATAGGATATTCAATTAGTATCTATAAAGAATTCAACTTGTTCTTCACCAAATAAATTTTATTTTAATCCTAAGAACACAACCAGACTTCATGTACCCAATTACCTCAAAATTTGTTACCATGTACAGAGATATGGTAGGTTCAGTTTCAGAATACCGCAATAAAGCAAGTATTATAAGAAAGAAAGTCACAAATTTTTTTGGTTTTCCAGTGTATATAAAAATTACATTTACGTTGTACCATAGCCTAGTTAGTGTGCAATAACCTTATATCTAAAGAAAGAATGTATACACATTAATTAAAAGTGCTTTATTGCTAAGAAAAAAGCTGACAATCATCTAAGCGTTTAGTAATCCATAATCTTTTTGTGGTACAGTGTCTTGCTGAATAATAGTGGTGATTGCTGAAGGTTGGTATGCCTGTGACAATTTCTTAAAATAAGGCAACAATCACGTTTGCTGCATTGATTGACTCTTTCATGGAAGACGTCTTTGTAGCATAAGACGTTGTTTGATCACATTTTACCCACAGTAGAACTGCTTTCAAAATTGGAGTTAATCCTCTCAAACCATACTTAATCAAGCAAGTTTTATGTAATAGCAAGTAAGTTTATATAATGTTTTAATCCTTAGTTGTCATTTTAACAAAGCTCACAGTATCTTCACCAGTAGTCGATGACATTTCAAGAAGCCACTTTCTTTGCTCATCCACAAGAAGCAATTCCACATTTGTTACAAAGTTTTATCCTGAGATTGTAGCAATTGAGCAACATACTCAGTCTATGCTTCTGATTCTATTTCTCTTGCTATTTCTACCACATATGTAGTGACTTTTTCCACTGAAGTTTTAAACCTATCAAAGTCATCCCAGACAGTTGGAATCAACTACTTCCAAACTCCTGTTTATGTTGATAATTTGACCTCCTCCCATAAATCATAAATGTTCTTAAAGACATCTGGAATGATGAATCTTCTCCAGAAGGTTTTCAATTGACTTTGCTCAGATCCATCAAACGAATCATTATCTGTGGTAGCTATAGACTTATAAAATGTATTTTTAAAATAATAAGACTTAAAAGTCAAAATTATTCCTTGATCTACAGGTTGTAGAATGGATGTTGTGTTAGCAAGCATGAAAACAACATTAATCTCCTGGTACAACTGTATCAGAGCTCTTGGATGACTAGGTGCATTGTCAGTAATTGTGAAAGAAATGGTTTTCCCTGAGCAGTAGGTCTCAACAGTAGGCTTAAAATATTCAGCAAACCATTCTGTAAATAGATGTGTTGTCATCCAAGCTTTGTTATTTCATATATAAAGCACAGGAAAAGTAAATTTAGCATAATTCTGAAGAGTCCTAGAATTTTCAAAATGGTAAATGAGCATTAGCTTCAACTTAAAGACTCTGCCAAAAGACTCCTGGAACTAATAAACAACTTCAGTAAAGTTTTAGAAAACAAAATTATGAACAACTTGGTAGTATTTCTATACACCAATAACATTCAACCTGAGAGCCAAATCAAGAATGCAACCTCATTTACAATAGCCACACACAAAAATTAAAATACCTCTAGCCAATAAGGTGAAAGATCTCTACAAGGAGAACTATAAAACACTGCTGAAATAAGTCATAGATGATACAAACAAATGGAAAAACATTCCATGTTCATGCATTGGAAGAATCGATATCATTAAAATGGCCATGTTGTCCAAAGCAATCTACAGATTCAATTCTATTCCTATAAAACTACCAACATCATTTTTCACAGAATTAGAAAAAAAACTATTCTAAAATTCATATAAAACCAAAAAGGAGCCCAAATAGACAAACAAATCCTAAGCAAAAAGAACAAAACCAGAGGCATCACATTACCCAACTTCAAACTATACTATAAGACCAAATCTAAGTAAGTAAGCCAAAACACCATGGTAATGGTACAAAAACAGATACACAGACCAATGGAACAGAATAGAGATCACAGAAATAAAGTCGCACACCTACAGCCATCTGATCTTTAACAAAGTTGACAAAAATAAGCAATGGGGAAAGGATTCCCTATTCAATAAATAGTGCTGAAATAGCTGGCTAGCTATATGCTAGAAGAATGAAACTAAAGCTCTGCTTTTCACTATACAAAAAAATTAAGTCAAGATGGATTAAAAATTTAAATGTAAGAACTCAAACTCTAAGAACCCTAAAAGAAAATATAGGATTTTCTAGAAAATCTACCATAATGAAAACACCATTGTGGACATCAGCCTTGGGTAAGAATTTATGACTAACTCCTAAAAATCAATTGCAACAAAAATAGAAATTGACAAGTGAAACCTTATTAAACTAAAGAGTTTCTGCACAGCAAAAGAGATTATCAACGGAGTAGACAGACAAACTAAAGAATGGAAGGAAATATCTGCAAACTATGCATCTGACAAAGATCTAATATCCAGAATCTATCCGAAACTTAAATAGTTAAGCAAAAACCAAATAACCTCATTACAAAGTGGGCAAAGGACATAAACAGATATTTCTCAAAAGAAGGCATACAAGTAGCCAAGAAACATGAAAAATGACCCACATCACTAATCATCAGAGAAATGCAAGTCAAAACCACAATGAGATACTATCTCACATGTCAGAATGGCTATTATTAAAAAGTCAAAAAATAGTAGATGCTCATGAAGCTGTGGAGAAAGGGAACACTTTTACACTGATGAAGGGAATATAAATTAGTTTGGTCCTTGTGGAAAGCAGCCTGTAGAGATTTTCAAATAATCCAGAACTACCATTTGACCCAGCAATCTCATTACTAGGTATATATCCAAAAGAAAATAAATTGTTCTACCAAAAAGACACCTGCACTCTTTATGTTTGTTGCAGCACTATTCACAATAGCAAAGACATAGAATCAATGTAGGTGCACATCAGCAGTGGGTTAGATAAAAATATAGTACATATACACCATGGAATACTATGCAGCCATAAAAAATAAAGTCATGTCCTTTCCAGCAACATGGAAGCAGCTGGAGGCCATTATTTTAAGTGAATTAATGCAGGAACAGAAAAGGAAATACCGCATTTTCTTACTTATAAGTGGGAGCTAAACAATAGGTACTCATGGACATAAAAATGGCAATAATGGATACTTGGGACTATTAGAGGGGTAAGGGAGGGACGAAGGGCAAGGGTTAAAAAACTTACTGTTGAGTACTATGATCATTATCTGGCTGATGGGATCATTTCTATACCAAACCTCAGCATCACACAACATACTCATTTAACAAAACTGCACATGTACCCTCTGAATCTAAAAAAAAGTTGAAATTTAAAAAAAGAAAAGAAAAACTAACCAGGAAGCTAGTCTTAAAAAGCAAAACCAAAATCTAATTAATAAACTTTGCTCTCCAGGAATTCTTCACAATGACCCTTGTGGCTTCCATTTATCGCTATTTGTAATGGCAGGTATTATTCCATGCCCCACTACTTAGACTTGGTTGTATAAGGGACAACCAACTTGTTAACGCATAGGTTTCCAGACTTGATATAGAGATCTATGCCTCACTTGAAGATACTGGACTTTGAGCTGGGACATTGGTTTGTATTCAAAAAAGAAAATTGCAGAAGGTAAGCATTTAAATTCCCAGTTTGCTGATCAATAATATAAATCAAACATGCAAAAAATTGGCATTTCATTTAATATAAAGAAGATATGTGGCAAAACTATCTACTCCTTGAAGTTTATCAAGTAAAGTTTTCTCTACAATTTTCAAATATAAAAAGCAATGTAGAAACTTAGCTGTAAAGTTAGGCAATCAAATATGAATAAAGGTGACTGATTCTATGTAAACAAAATGTTGAATAAAATGTTGATTCTAACTATATTCATAGATAGGATCACTGATGTTAGCTCTGTTAGTTACTAACTATAAACCATTTGAGTTTTTTCTTTGTTTTCCTTTTCTTTTTTTGCCACTTTTTAGGTATGTTACATAATCAATTTGTTCAGGCAAGAGTTGGTTAAATTTGCTCAATTTTTTGGAAAAATAAATATTACCTGGTAATATCTGAGGCAAATGGTATTTTGAAGAATGGTATATTTTAATAAAAAAAGGATTGCAACAGTTTTCCTTTCCTTTTTCCTCCTGAGTTATGACATGTATAAGGAGAAATAGTATAGCACACTAGTGTGTTTAAAGAAGCTTCACATATACTTTCTATTTTAAAAATTATAAAAAAGTCTCATAGTTTCTATTTCAGAATATATATCTATATACATATGTATTTGTGTGTGTATGCATATATATATATATATATATATATATATATATATATATATATATACATACACACACACATATATATACCTCTCTTAGTTTTTTTTTTTTTTTAGACAAGGTCTTGCTCTGGCACCCAAGCTGCAGTGCAGTGGCGTGATCTCGGCTCAGCCCAATCTCCACCTCCCAGGTTCAAGCGATTCTCCCGCTTCAGCCCCCAGAATAGCTGGGATTACAGGCACATGCCACCACGCCTGGCTAATTTTTATATTTTTAGCAGAGACAGGGTTTCACCATGTTGGCCAGGCTGGTCTCGAACTCCTGACCTCAGGTGATCTGCCTGCCTCAGCCTCCCAAAGTGCTGGGATCACAGGCATGAGCCACCATGCCTGGCCCCTCTCTTAGTTTTCACAAATCACTATTGACTAATAATACAATATAAAAAGAATCACGACATTGCTAATAATTACCAAAAATGCATACCATGTAATATTCTAAGCATGTATCCAACACTAAGAAACCCCAAAATATTTTCAGTTCAATGAGGCCTAAAGGAGAGACATTCGTATTTTCACATCAGTGAGTTCCGGCATAGCAGTGTATAACTAGAGACACTTATGTTCTCCAGAGTGACAGCTTTTTACTTTCTTATAGTGCTATCTCAGTGATATAATTCAAATATGGTTAAAACTGGATCACATAAAAAATAAAACTGGTTGGCAAAGGGAACATTTTTAAATGGTCTTTCTATTTTTGCAGATCACTCTAACTAGGTATAGCCACAATTTGTATATCCACTATCTGGAGATTTAAAATCTGAGCATGTTTTTAAATTTAAATTCAGAATAGATTTTCATAATGGTAAGGAATTCCTTTTTAAACTTAAATTTAACAAAGATACTATCATTTTATCTTTTTCATGCTGATTTTTTAAAATGTTTTCCTCCTTCTTCTACATTCATCTGTTGCAGTCACTTTATTTTGAGTCTCTTTGAAAATCATCCTGAAATACTAGCTACGGCTAAAGTGCTTGAGATCAAGTATCAGATAATGCTGAATGGAGATATCTTTATAACATTCATGTGATATTACTTGTCTCCTTCTAGATCAAAGGTCATCCTAAATCTTCAATTGCCACCTCTTCTGTGAAGCATTACGAAATTTTCAGTATACTATCCAGAACTGACCATGCCTTCCTTGGTTATATTTGTATTTAAACCACCCAATATTATTTTAGACAAATATTAAATACCTTAGACCAATGTATTATAAAATGCTGTGTTAGATAATTGTGAAATTACAATAGCTTTCAAAATTCTAAGGCATTTGAGGATATCCTATGAGATTTTTGTTGTATATATCTAGTGCAAAACAGTGTTACAGTGGAGTCCTCATAAACATTTATTCAATGAATGAGTGAACTACATGTATTTCTTATAGCTATGATTTGACGAAGAATTTTTGTTTTCCATGTAAAAGTGATTTTAATAGGTTCTTTGCTCTCAAGCCATATTTATTCAAAGATGTTTGCAACTCCTCTATCCATTTATCAAAACTACTAAAGTTAATATAATATGCAACTGATATATCTAAAATTACATTTTGCATACTGGAAGGATTATTTTGGATTACAATGATATTTCTTACCAAAGGGAAACTAGGAAAGAATATATTACGTAGAAAGATGAATGAAGATGAAAACTGAGAGTCAACAACTTCATCAAAAGGGACTCAGTTTAAAACTTGGGTATATATTTTCAATAATATCAACCCTGAATAATTTGTTCTAAACTGATGTGAAATGAAGGTAAATAGAGAATATCCCTGATTCACTAATTTTTTAGCCCTGAAATCTCAGCTCAATATAATTTATCTTTTGAATATTATGACTCACATTCATGACTGAGTCTGCCAAGGACTGTTATATAATAACAGAAAATATTCATTAAACACTCACTGGGCCTAAGCTATATGGCATGTTTTAATTATAATATCTTATTTAATGTTCAAAATAAAACTCTGATGCAAATATTGTCTTATCCACATTTTGGAGATGGGGAATCTAAGCATAAGAGAAGTTAGTAACTTGCTCAAGGTCACATATTTTATTGAAGCTAAGACTATGTTCATACTTAATTCCAGAGTCAGTGAACTTAACCACTGCACATTTTAATTAAAATTTTTAAAAAGGGAACAATTATATTTTTAAAAATAAACATTTCTTAACTTTTTTGTCTAGAATATAGAATAATATAAAAAGTGAAATGAATGACATCAGTTTTAAAATTAGTCACTCTGGAAAACACTCATATTCTGCTTGAGAGAAATCTGCTTATCTTTAATGACAACTTGACAATTTGTCTCAATAGTTTTAAACGTATTTACAATCATTCCCCTAACAATGAAAGTTCTGAAGACAAATCTTAGTAGATAATTCGTAATAAAAAAATTCATGTACAAAAATATCCTTTATTTTGTTTTTTTGAATGCTTATTTTTGAAAATGCACTTTATTATTATTATACTTTAAGTTTTAGGGTACATGTGCACAATGTGCAGGTTAGTTACATACCTATACATGTGCCATGCTGGTGTGCTGCACCCATTAACTCATCATTTAGCATTAGGTATATCTCCTAATGCTATCCCTCCCCCCTCCCCCCACCCCACAACAGTCCCCAGAGTGTGATGTTCCCCTTCTTGTGTCCATGTGTTCTCATTGTTCAATTCCCACCTATGAGTGAGAACATGCGGTGTTTGGTTTTTTGTCCTTGCAATAGTTTACTGAGAATGATGATTTCCAATTTCATCCATGTCCCTACAAAGGACATGAACTCATCCTTTTTTATGGCTGCATGGTATTCCATGGTGTATATGTGCCACATTTTCTTAATCCAGTCTATCATTGTTGGACATTTGGGTTGGTTCCAAGTCTTTGCTATTGTGAATAGTGCCAAATAAACATACGTGTGCATGTGTCTTTATAGCAGCATGATTTATAGTCTTTTGGGTATATACCCAGTAATGGGATGGCTGGGTCAAATGTTATTTCTAGTTCTAGATCCCTGAGGAATTGCCACATTAGAGTAGTTCATAAGTAAAAGTTTGAAAATATTTCCAAAAACATGAAACTGCCTTATAAAATACAGAAAATACTTTTAATTTTAAATGAATAAAATGACAAGTGGGAATGATTTCAAAACATAAATACCAAATGGGATTATATGAGTAATTCTTATTTGTACTTTATACCTAGTAATATTAAAAAAAAAAAAAAAACTCACATCTGTAATCCCAGAGCTTTAGGAGGCCAAGGCGGGTGGATGACCTGAGGCCGGGAGTTCGAGACCAGCCTGACCAACATGGAGAAAACCCGTCTCCACTAAAAATACAAAATTAGCCGGGCATGGTGGAGACGGGGTTTCTCGAAGTGGTCAGGCTGGTCTAGATATGAAGACACTTCTCAAAAGAAGACATTTATGCAACCAACAGACACATGAAAAAATGCTCATCATCACTGGCCATCAGAAAAATGCAAATCAAAACCACAATGAGATACTATCTCACACCAGTTAGAATGGCGATCATTAAAGTCAGGAAACAACAGGTGCTGGAGAGGATGTGGAGAAATAGGAATGCTTTTACACTGTTGGTGGGACTGTAAACTAGTTCAACCATTGTGGAAGTCAGTGTGGAGATTCCTCAAAGATCTAGAACTAGAAATACCATTTGACCCAGCCATCCCATTACTGGGCATATACCCAAGGGATTATAAATCATACTGCTATAAAGACACATGCACAGGTATGTTTATTGTGGCACTATTCACAATAGCAAAAACTTGGAACCAACCCAAATGTCCATCAATGATAGACTGGATTAAGAAAATGAGGCACATATACACCATGGAATACTATGCAGCCATAAAAAAGGATGAGTTCATGTCCTTTGCAGGGACATAGATAAAGCTGGAAACCATCATTTTGAGCAAACTGTCGCAAGGACAGAAAACCAAACACTGCGTGTTCTCACTTATAGGTGGGAATTGAACAATGAGAACACATGGACACAGGGTGGGGAACATTACACACAGGGCCTGTCAGCAGGGTGGGAGGAGGGGGGAGGGATAGCATTAGGAGATATACCTAATGTAAATGATGAGTTAACAGGTGCAGCACACCAACATGGCACATGTATACATATGTAACAAACCTGCACGTTGTGCACAGGTACCCTAGAACTTAAAGTGAAATAATAATAATAATAAAAGAGTAAAACTCCCTCTCAAAAAAAAAACCTGTATAATATTCATTATTGTCCCAATGAGCATAAATGTATCACTGAATTTATTTCTCTGAAAAAACTGCCATAAGGGTGACAATAAAAGAACATGATCTTTGGAGTCACTTAGATTGGTTTTGATGAATTCCAACTCTTACATTTAATAATAGATTGAAAGTTGTGCAAACAAGTTTACCCTTTCTGAACCTTAGACACTTTATCTATAAAATAGGGGTGAGGTTTCCCTTTTAGACTGGGGCTAAGTGCAATTTCTACAGCATGTATAGTGGCATAGTGACAGCAAAAAACATGTGGAAACACAGCCTTTCTGGACTGGCAACCAAAAATGAACTTGGAAACCATAAACACTGAAGTGAGTAGGAGATCCCAAAAATGAAAGAGACAGCAAGCATATTCCTCAACTCTACTCACTTTTCTGGCTGATCACTGTAGCACTCACATATGAAAGGGATTTTAAAAATTTCACCAGCGGGGCGCGGTGGCTCACGCCTGTAATCCCAGCACTTTGGGAGGCCGAGGCTGGTGGATCGCCTGAGGTCAGGAGTTCAAGACCAGCCTGGCCAACATGGCAAAACCGTGTCTCTACTAAAAATACAACAAAATTAGCCGGGCATAGTGGCAGGTGTCTGTAATCCCAGCTACTCGGGATGCTGAGGCAGGAGAATCACTTGAACCCGGGAGGTGGAGGTTGCAGTGAGCCGAGATCGCACCACTGCACTTCAGCCTGAGTAGCAAGAGTGAGACTTCATCTCAAAGAAGAAAAAAAAAAAAGAAAGAAAAGAAAAGAAATCACCTACAGGCAAAAGGCCTTAACTAATACTAGAGCTGCCTCTACAGAAAAACTGCATTTCAAACCCAACCAAGAAAATTACTTGGAAAAATAAAGGAAACAACAAAAATAGAGAGAGAGAGAGAAAAAAAAAATCACCACAACTTAATGTGCAAACTACCAAGTACATAATCCAAAAATAACTAACTTATGAGGAATCAAAATAATAGAACATACATTAAAAAAATCAATTAACCTTGTTACTGAAATAAACCAGATGTTGGAACTAATGCGAGTACTTTTAAATGGCTTTATAACTGTCCTCAAAGAACTAATACAAAGCATGTACTCATGGTATGTAAAACTCAGGTAAGAAATATAAAATTTCAGAAGAAATATAGAAACATATAAAAATAACCAAATGGAAATTCAAGAGCTAAAAAATACAGTTTCACTGGATAAACTTAACAGCTGGTTGAACATGGGGGAAATGAAGAGAAGAAAAGGTAAATTTGGAAAGAGATCTATACAAATTATTCTTGGCAAAGAATACCAGGGAGAAGGTAGATAATGCCAAATGGCTCACATTAAGTATAACTGGAATAATATAAATACATAAAGAGCAAATGGGAAAGAAAAAAATATTTGACCAATTAAAAGCCAAGCTTTTTTTTTCAAATTTAATGAAAAAAATTTGCAAATACAAAATGCTAAACAAATACCATACAGAATAAGCAGCAAGTGCTTGCATGCATATATCATAGTTAAACTGTCAAAAGTCAAAGATAAAAATCACACTTTGAATACAGGAGGAAAAAAATATACAATTGCATACAGAAATAATGGGAAATTAATGGCTGATTTCTCATCAGAAACTATCGAGGCCAGAAGACATTGAAAAAAAATGTTTAAAGTGGTGGGTGAAAGACACCATCAATCCATAGTTCTATAATAATAATAAAAAAAATTCTTCAAGACCAAAAACAAAATGAAGAAATCTTCATATAAAAGAAAACTCTTAGAGAATTTTTGTCAGCAGAATTGCACTTCAGGAAATAATAGCAAAAAAAAAAAAAAACCCATATCCTTAGAAATTGATGAATAATTCAAAAACTGGCAAATATTAGGGTATGTACAAAATTATTTTTCATCTTTTTTTCTTAATTTCTTCATAAGCATATAAATGTTTTTAAAATTATAACATTTTCTTTTGGGTTTTTTAAAGTATATATATGCATACATTATATGTATATTTTAATACAAAGGCAGGAAGCAAATAGCATATGGACTTATGTAGTTGGAGGATTTCTATATTTTATTTGGTGGGGTAAATTGTTAACCATAAAATAAATGAAAAGTTAAAGATGCTTATTATAGTATGTAGAGTAATGCAGAAAAATTATGCAAAGAAACATAGCTCAAAATCCAACAGTGATATGGATTGGTTGTGTCCACACCCAAATCTCATCTTGAATTGTAGCTTCCATAATCCTCATGTTGTTGGAGGGACCCAGTGGGAAGTAATTGAATCATGGGGGTGGGTTTTTCCATGCTGTTCTCATTATAGTGAATAAGTCTCATAAGATTTAATGGTTTTAAAAAGAGCAGCTTCCCTGCACAGTCTCCTGCCTATTACCACGTAAGACATGCCTTTGCTCCTCCTTTGCCTTCTGCAATGATCGTGAGGCTTCCCTAGCCATGTGAAACTGTGAGTTGATTAAACCCCTTTTTCTTTATATTACCCAGTCTCAGTGTGAGAACAGACTAATACAAATGGAAAAAACAAAAAGTAATTCTGAAATTATCTAGATAATAAAAAGATAGAGGGAACAATAACAGACAAGAAGAAAACAATAACAACAAAATGACAGACCTAAATCCAACTGAATCAATAATTACATTAAATACTAAAAGACTAAACATTCTCATGAAAAGGCAGAGATTGTGAGAATAAAAATTTTTTAAATTATAAGCTGTATAAACATGCATTTTGAGTGTAAAGATACAGAGATATTTCCAGCAAATATATTAAAAGTAATAGCATGCAAAAAATAAGATTAAGAAGGCTGGAGTGACCATATTAATAGCAGATAAAATAAATTTCACAATAAAATGTATCACCAGGTACAAGGAAGATACTTCATAATGATAAAAACATCAATTAATCAGAGATAAACAGAAATGTGTATGTGACCCCATTAACAAAAATATATAAAGCAAAAATTGACTGAATCAAAATGAGAACTAGATAGTTTCCAAATGACTAAAAATTATAAGACCATTCTCTCATCAGTTTATAATACTAGTCAAAATATCAACAAATACGTAATTCTGAATAGCACTACTATTCATCTTGATTTAAATGCTCTGAACAACAGCAGAATACACATTCTTCTTATGTACATATGGTATGTTTACCTGGATAGAGTAATATCTGGGCCATAAAACAAGACTGAAAATATAAAGTTTGAAATCATATAGAGTATGTTCTCTAACCACAATGGAATTGTTTTAAAAATAACAAATAATAAAATATCAATAAAAACAAAAAAAATAAAGTAATATACTTGAGTAATCATTTTTCTCAAGAAGAAATCACATAGGAAATTAGAAAATATTTTAAACTGAATGATACCATATATAAAATTTTATGGGATGCTAATAAAACTGTGCTTTGAGGAAATTTTATGGCTTTAAATGCATATGTTGAAAAGAAAAAATATCTCAATCAGCAATCTAAGACTCCATTTAAAAAACTAGAAACAGTAAAGCAGATTAAATTTTAAGCAGACAGAAGTAAACAATAAAGAGTAGAAATAAATGAAATAGAAAATAGAATAATTTAAAAATTAACAAGACCAGAAACCGATTCTTTGAGAATATCAACAAATTAACTCTAATTAAAAGAATCACAAAAAAGAGAGAAAACAAAACATCAATGTCTGTAATAAGAGAGAAATCATTTTCACAAAACTCATAAGACATTATAAGAATAATAAGAGAATATTATATATAAGTCTATCCCAATGACTGTAATGACCTAGATGAAATGGACAAATTACCAAAATAGACTCAAGAAGAAACAAAATTTGAACAGCTCTATACCAATGAGCAAAATTAAATTCACAATTAAGGACCTTCCCATACAGAGAATTTCAGGCTCACATGGCATCACACCCATCTGATGGTAAATTTTATCAAATATGTATGGTAAATTCTATCAAATAGAAACCCCTAATGCATGTGGGGCTTAAAACCTAGATGATGGGTTGATGGGTGCAGCAAACCACCATGGCACATGTATACCTATGTAACAAACCTGCATGTTCTGCACATGTATCCCAGAACTTAAAGTGTAAGAAAAAAATAAAAGTGCAATAGAAAGAAAAAAAGAAAAGCAAATGAGCATATGAAAAGAGTCTCAACATCATTGGTCATCAGAGAAATACAAATCAGATCGATCATAAGAAAATATATTATTCACCCAACATAATGACTGATGTTTAAAGGAAAACATCTGCATGCATCTCAACTATGATATGTGAACCTCTGTCACTCCAGAGGCTACCAGGGTGCTCTGGGCATCTCTTGATCCTTACCAGGTGATATCGTTTTGCTGTGTCCCCACCCGAATCTCACCTTGTAGTTCGCATGATCCCCACGTGTGGGAGAAACCTAGTGCGAGGTAATTGAATAATGAGGGTGGTTACCCTCATGTTGTTCTTGTGATAGTGAGTTCTCAGGAGATCTGATGGTTTTAAAAGGGGTTTTTCCCTCTTTGCTTTCCACTTCCTTTTCCTACCACCTTGTGAAGAAGGACATGTTTGCTTCCCTTTCCACCATGATTGTAAGTTTCCTGAGGTCATCCCAGCCATGCAGAACTTTGAGTCAATTAAATCTCTTTCCTTTATAAGTTACCCAGTCTCAGGCATTTCTTCATAGCAGCATGAGAATGGACTAATACACCAGGTAAATAGCCATAGTATCATCTTCAACAACAGTCTTTATGGAGTTTGTCCTCATGACCTTTCTAACTAGGCTCCCTGCTTCCACACTCATTCCCTCATAGTATATTCTTAACAGAGCAGACAGAGTCAGTGATCCTTTAAAAACACAGGCCTGGTCATGTCACTCTTCTGCTCAAAACCCTCCCATATGCTTTACCTTTTACTCTGAAAAAAACTGCAAATTCTCACAATAGTTTATTACATGATCAATGTCCTTTTCCTGCCTAAACACATTCAGCCTGCAATGCTCCTTACTTACTCCATTAGAGCCACATCTACCTATCTCTTTTTCTTAAACATGCCAAGCACATGCTCCCTCAGGGCCTTTGCACTTGCTGTTCCTCTGGAATGCTCTACTCAGATGGTTCCCTTATTTACTTCTTTCAAACTACTTCTCAAGTATCAACTGGAAAATGAGGGCTTCCCTGACCACCATATTTAAAATAACTCTTTTCCAAATGTACAAAGCTATTAAATAACAGAAAGATAATACTGACTAACTTTGTATTACAGAATTTGCCATTTGTTAATTATTCTTACTAACAAGCATCAAAAATTAAAATAAGAAAGGTCAATGCACTATAAGCATTGTGAAGTGCTTCTCATGCTTCTTACGATCTTTATTTTGTCCGTGAAAGATGCTTGCTGATCGCTTACCAGTACAGGATAAGGGGAACATATAGTTCATTTAATATTGTGGATATACACTTCAGAAACTGACTTGTTTGCAATGAGAAATAGGTATCGAATGATGATAGCACATACAAACCTGGTAACTAAATATTGAAAGATTTTCCTATAAGCTTTTATGTGTTTTTAAAATTTTAAAATTTAAAAAACAGACCAACAAATTAAGAACATATTTCTGCCTTACATTTAGTTTACCATATCTTTGAAGTAGGTGAATATTTTAAAATTTCTGCATCAAACACTTGTAACTTATGTTACATGTGATAGCTATTTAGTATATAATTCATGTGTATAAAATACTTATCTCTCAGTAATATCTTTATTCCACCAAGAAAATCACTTGAATTCATTTTAACTACATATGAGCTGCAATCCTTTAATTTTAAAATTCTGTATAATTTTTTTAATATGACACCATAAAAAAGATGTCTTTCTGAGGCTAAATATAGTGATTTCACCATAGCATGAAGTGTTATGGCTCTATCTTTGTTATCCATCTACTTTTAGATCTACTTACTTTCAGATAATTCATCTGCCTATCATCTATCTATCTAATCTATCTACGTAACTACCAATCTATCATCTATCTACAAATTCATTAATGTCTACGCTGTATACCTAATTTATTGAAATAACCTACGTATTGCATCTGTTGAAACAAAAATTTTCCTAAGCATTTCTCAACTCTCCATACTTAAAAAAACTGATAATCTACCAATGTTAAAATTCAACAGAATTCAAAAACATTTTAAAATAAAGGGAAATAGGAAACTGGGAAACTCTACAAAGATGAAAATTTAAAAACTACAGTAAACTGGGAGGCCAGAGACTTAATTGCTCTGCACAGTAACTATTTTTCTGTGAATAATTGTAGTTTCACTATCAGTTGAAAAAGGATAAGTAATATTTCCCTCAACATGTCATGGATAAAATTCATGATCTGCCCTCAGCTTACACAATTAACTTTTTTATATTTGCACACTGGGAATGCAACACCAACTAATTTTCATCTATAGTTCTTTTTTATTTTGGCATTTTTGACAGCATTCCCAATAACTGCCCTCTAATTTAGAGTGTGTTTAAGTTAGCATCCACATAAAATTCTGATATTCAATCATTATTCTCTTCAGGGCCTATTAGCCTTACTTGAATTTGTCAAACACAGACTTCTAGACTAACAATATTTTCTTCCTTATTGCAAACTCTTTTTTTTTTTTTTTCATTTTGGTTAGCATGACCACCTGGTGTCCTGGAGAGTTTATACTGAATTTCTGTTTAATCCTCACCCTAATTAGATGAAGCAGCTGAGCAACAGGAAACCTCTGCTACCTCCCGTTAGAGGCGTGAATCAACTGCACTCCAGGCCATTCCTAGTTTAGGAAGGAAGAATCTAATCTGTGATTCAAATGTGATCTGAGTTCACAGGGCCCAGAACTACTTCTTAGCTTCTGTGTTGGCCTGTACTCACATCTTTAACATTAAGCAAGCGTTGACATAGTTGCAACAAGTCAGATTTTCCTAATCTGATGTTTTCTTACATCCAAAATAGTGAAGGCCTCTTCAATGATACTCCACTCCACATAAGGATATTAGAAGCATTCCACAAGGAATAGCTCAAATTGCATGCAATTAAGAGAGAACATCATGTATTTCAAATCTCCTCCTAAGGCTTTACGATTTCCCACATAAACAAAGTGTATGTTACTTCAAATTAACCACTCACTTCATTGCACAAAATCTTAGAACTAGATTTCCTTTATCTTCTTCCCCAAATTATCACCTTTTCATAGTTAAAAATGGAATCTTTTATATTTATGACTAGTGTAAAATAATGTAAAATGCTTATTTTCTATTATCTTATTCTTATCATGATAGCATTGCTACCTTGCCTACAGTTGAAGCCAAAAATAGATTTCATGAGTTCTGGGATAAAAAATATGAGCAGCTCTTTACTTTATCATTGGCTAATCAGCATGTTTAGTAAGAAAGATGATTATCAGAAGGCTCCTCTGACTCTTTGTTCTGAGGTGGGAAAAGATCGTAATGAGACAACTTAAAGCAATAAGTAATTACCCAAACATAAAGCCTGTATTAGTACCTGTATTCATATATTCCTCATTTTAAAAATTTCTTTAGAGTTTAACTAATCATAATAAGAATAAGAGGATTTTTATTTTGAGTTGTTTGAGAAACAGAGTAGATAGAGATCTTTATAAAAATGAGGCTTTTACATTGACAGGACAAATGCCAGAAGGATTCAGTTTAATTTTTCAGTAGTCTTTGTCTACCTCAAAACTCTCATTTTCTTTTCTGGTAGAATAGAATGTCCCATTTTGGCTGAGTCCCTGTCAGACTTCTTACAACAAATCAAAAAGCAAGTAGTTTCTGTCCTCTTTAGTAGAAGCAAAACCAGGTATGCTTTAGTCATATTCTACTTCCTCTTAGAGTAGGCATTAGGATGTGTGTTTACAGATGGTTTGGCGCAGCCTAGGAAAGGGGTCGGTTCAGAAGATCAATGAATATGGTGGATTGTAAGGTAGTATAGAGGAAATAACAATGATGTCTATTTACTGTGGAGTGACCATAAGTACGTGTTGTGAATGTAGGAAAGGGACCGAACAAAAATAACATTTATTTATTGTCAGTTATTTCATAGAGCAAGAATTCCAACTCTATGTAACCTGATAGCCAATGATCTTACCAATCGGGAAAGGAAATCAAATTATACAGACTTAGATTAGTGTTTAAAATGTAAGACAAAGAAGAAAGAGAAAAGACGAAATGAATTTCTAGAATACAGAAATGATCAACATATAAATTTTAATAAAATTAAAAATGATATGAAGAAACAGACATAAAATGACTTGTAGAGGCTATAGTCCCATACTAGCTAAGCAATTTCAAGCAAATGGTTGCCAACAGCCATGGTATACACTGGTCATGTTCAGGCATGTGCAGATAATAGTAGTCAGTTAAATGGCAGGCACCAGGCAGAGGCAGAGCTTCCCTCAGAAGATGATAAAAATAGTGACAAAAAGATAAGATTTTCCCAACACAAAGGCTCTACTTTGGCTATATGCTTATTAGGAGAATATAGGGACAATATGATATTTTTAGAGTACTGTTTCTGTCAAAGAGATATCTGCACTTTCATATTTATTGCAGCAAAGTTATTCACAATAGCCAAATATGGAATTAACCTAAGTTTCTATCAATGGATGAACTGATAAAGAAAATGTGGTATATACACAAAATGGAACACTATTTACCCATAAAAAAGGAAATCCTCTCATTTGTGACAACATGGATGAACCTGGAGGACATTATGTTAAGTGAAATAAGCCAGGCACAGAAGGGAAAATACCACATAATCTCACTTATATGTGGAATCTAAAAAAGATGATCTCATAGAAATAGAGACTAGAACAGTGGTTGCCAGAGGCTAGGGTTGTTGGAGGAAAAAGATCTGGGAAGATATTGGCCAAAGGATTCAAAATTATAGTTATATTAAAGGAATAATTTCAAGAGATCCATTGTACAGCTTGATGACTATAGTTAATGACAATATATTGTATTCTTGAAAAATGCTAAGAGAGTGAATGTTGTGTTCTCATCACAAAAATAATGTAAGATCATGCACACAAGAATTAGCAATACTGAACCATTTCACAACATACATATACTTCAAAACTTCATGTTGTATATGATAAATACATAAAATATTATGTCAATTGAAAAAAAATAAAATGGACCAAACCTACAGAATAATGTCAAAATACTTTGCTTTTACTTTCTACTCAGCACTCTCAGACAGTAGGCATTAATATTAAAACATTTTCTACTATAGAGATGAAACACAAATTTGGTACTGGAAGGTTACAAATTTGCTTTTGATTTAATGCAGCACAATCTAAAAGTCTCTAAGAAAGTTTGTCATCCTTGTAGTCCCAGCTACTCCGGAGGCTGAGGCAGGAGAATGGCGTGAACCCCAGGGGGCGGAGCCTGCAGTGAGCCGAGATTGCGCCACTGCACTCCAGCCTGGGCGACAGCGAGACTCCGTCTCAAAAAAAAAAAAAAAAAAAAAAAAAAAGTTTGTCATCCTTTAGAGCCACAAGCCTGCCCTTAATGCCTCAGGAGATTTGTACTTCTCATAAGTACCTGGTATAGTAGCTCCTCATAAATCCTCATCCCAAGGACAACATCTGTGACTCCACCCTCAACAGATTTCTAAAGACAGCTCAAAGGAATGTATTAACTCAATCTCTAACCTTGAGCAAACCAGCATATTCCTGCAGAAACAGTGTAGCTTGAAAATCCAGAAATATACTCTAGGCTTTTACTGAGTTATAATAGAAATAAGTCTAAAGATTCCCAGCTTGTTACAGTTAAATGTCCTGAAAATGTTTTCAGACTATTTTTAACATTTATCTGTGGCAAAGTGTTGCATAAACTGACTAATTTAGAGGTGTTTTGGATATGAATTTTTAAATAATTGCATGCAGAAAGGTATAAAACAGGAATGCTTCAAGGTGACTTTTTTTGCATGTCTCAAGACTGAGCCTTCACTGATGATGACAAATAGATAATTAGAATCCCCAACCTCAGAGATGTGAGAAATGTGATCTTTTGGGAATGGCCATGAAGCTCCTGGAACGATTCACTGTGAGACACTGCTCATATCATGGAACAACTTATACCGGTTAGAAAGGCTGAGAGGATAACAACAAGCTAATTTTAATAACTTTTGGTCAATGGCAGAAGAGTGGAAGCATATAGTCAACAATAAATCGTAGTTTGCAATAAATAATTTTATAACTTTCAGGACTTCATAATCATTTAATATTTATCCTTTTGCACACATATTCTGGTGGTTTAACAAAAGATAACTAAGAGCTATAACCATACATGGACGCCACTCTCAAATGAATCTAATACAAACAGCTGAAGAGTCATCCTTCTCTCCATGTCCAATGACAGCAATAAACAATACATTCAAATCAATGTTCTATTATTATTAATAATGCTCATAATTTCATTGTAAAACACAACTAAAAGAAAAATGTTTATACTGAGATTTGTATAGTACTGTAAAAACAGAAAAAGATAGGGATTAAATAAATAATTTTGAAACGAAGCATCCTTCATAAAATCAACAGTTATAAAGCATTAGGCAGGATATTAGAGGGATCTAGGATCCTTAATCAGGTTTTTCATGGCAGTTTTCAGTTGAAGTGATGTAGTCCTGTTATCTCCATTATAGAGTGAGGAAATCAAAACAAAAAGTCCAGTCTGCCAAAGTATTTCTCACAAAAGGTTTATAATTCCTTCTCAATTTCATTTTTGAAACGTTAGCACATTACACATTTAAACAACCAGCTATCAAAGCAGGAAAAACTGCTACTCATCTAGCCAGGGTCAGGGTGCACTTGCTTTTCAGGCACATTATACTACTATTTACTGCAATAAGTGAAAAAATGATCAACATATGTTTTGCAAGAGAAACCTTAAACGAGGTACAAGAGAGCCATCCAGAAGACACAAAAAAACTTCTAACAAAAGCCATGCCGAAAAATGTCCCAAAAGGAGCAAATTACTTCCACAGTTTGCAAATGTTGTTAAGGTTATTTTAACAATGCTGTTTCCATTTCTGAAACCAGGCTCAGAAATGAAAAAAAAAATCTGTAAGTTTTTGAAATGTTCTCATAATTTTCTTCTTCTTTAGCCATTATATTTTCAGTGGCTATTATGCTGAATTCCCAGGCTTCTAATATATCTCAAATGTATAAGCTGTTAGACAAGTAAATAAAAGCGTATTATTTTTTAACTTATATATTCATCAAACATATATTATGCACTACTGATGACTGCTCTCTAGTGCCTACAGCACTTTTTTTTTTTTTTTTTTTTTTTTTGAGACGGAGTCTCGCTCTGTCGCCCAGGCTGGAGTGCAGTGGCACCATCTTGGCTCACTACAAGTTCCGCCTCCTGGGTTCAAGCAATTCTCCTGCCTCAGCCTCCCGAGTAGCTGGAACTACAGGCGCCTGCCACCTTGCCCGGCTAATTTTTTGTATTTTTAGTAGAGATGGGGTTTCACCATGTTAGCCAGGATGGTCTTGATCTCCTGACCTCGTGATCTGCCCACCTCGGCCTCCCAAAATGCTGGGATTACAGGTGTGAGCCACTGCGCCCGGTGCCTACAGCACTTCTAAGAGGGACAAACATAATCTCTAGACACAGGTCCTTATGCTTTTTAATAAAACACTAATAATTTACAAAAAAGTAACGTCTTATTTCTTAACAAAGTTTGTGAACTAAAAATAATTTGCCCTCATCATGGGAAAATTTGTAAACGACTGGATTTTTTAACAGAGTAGTCTATAACAGAATTTTAAAAATGTTACACATGCTTAAAAAGTATGTTATGATATTAAAAACACAATAGATATGCACGTGTTTTGCAAAATTGAATATTCCAGGAAACTGGTGACTAAATTTTTAAAGTTAACATAGTAACTGCCCAGGGCAAGGAGGACTATGATGATATTTATGATGATGATGATAATGATGATCATGATTTAACCCTGTGATGCTTTTGGGTATACACAATTTTCCAAATAATTTTCATGTATTTTGGATATTTTCAAATAATGCCATGTGAATTCACAACCCAGTGATATGCACATTTATAACTTTAAAAAATTGTACTCAGAGCATGTTAAAAGCTTTAAATACCCAACCCGTTGATTATATTTTCTATTGCAAATCTTTTAAATATTTAGTTTCTATCATATAATAACTGATAAATAATTTCAACAATTAAGTAAGAATTTTCACCTTATCTGGCTGCCAATTCCACTCCAGAGAAATCTCAAATCTCTGCTTTATCCAAATTGTGCCATGAGGCATTGCTGCTGTAATAGTTCTGCCATACGTTTATTCTCTAGTTTATACTTTTTTTTTTGCTTTCATTCTCTTACTTTTAAGCATTTAATGTATTCCCATAGTAAACTTTCACTCTCCCGATGGTATTTCCTATAGGATATTTTGATGTTTTCCATAATCTTCCTAGGCCACACTAATTCTTTACTCCTTAATGCTTTCATAACATTTTATTCATAGAATGTATATACTGAATATAGTGAGTTACGTACCATGCATCTTCCCTGCTAGATTGTGAGTTCACTGAAAATAAGAAATGCATCTTGTTCACTTTTATATCCCCCAATATAACCATGCTTTATCGAAACAAACAAACAAACAAAAAACAAAAACAGGCAAGGCACTGTGGCTCACGCCTGTAATCCCAGCCCTTTGGGAGGCCAAGGTGGGTGGATCACCTGAGGTCAGCAGTTCAAGACTAGCCTGACCAACGTGGTGAAACCCTGTCTTTAATAAAAATACAAAACTAGCTAGGTATGGTGGTGGGTGCCTGTAATCCCAGCTACTCAGGAGGCTGAGGCAGGGGAATCACTTCAACCCAGGAGGCAGAGGTTGCAGTGAGACAAGATCATGCCATTGCACTCCGGCCTGGGTAACAAGAGTGAAACTCCATCTCAAAAAACAAAAAACAAATACAAACACCCAACAACACAAATATCTAGGCATTTTAGTTACTAATTTTAAAGTGCAAGCCATAATACAATAGAACTTGCAAGGCAATTAATTGATTACCTAACTGCAAGCATTGAAATTTATAATATATAAGTGTGAAAACAGTGCCAGACTGTAAAGCAGCATATACCTTTTCAAAAATGAGGAAATAACACAATATTACCAGAACCCGTGTACATAAAACCATAGGGCTTAACTTTGGGACCTGAATAAATGAAGACAAATAACATTATCGCTGGAAAACTCAAATTTGAAAAGATGTTAATACTGTACAAATTGATTTATAAATCTAATGCATATCTAGTCATAACTGTAGTGTGATTTTTTAGTAGAGTTTGTCAAAATGACTCTAAAATTTATATTGAATGGAAATATGTAAGATTCTGAATAAGAACAAGATAAAATTTGGGCAACTGCAACATACAATAAATCTAAACCTATTAAAACAATATGATGGTGCAAAAAAGAACAAAGAGAGCAGTTAGGCAAAATAAAAAAAATCTCTAAAATATGGGCATTTGCATTAGGATAAAGATATCATTTCAAATCCACAAAAATTAAAACCTTTAAATAAGTAGGATTGAAATAATTGGCACTTATTAAAGTTAAAGAAAATTAGACCTTTACTTCATTCTAAACATAAAAATTGATCAGAGAAGGAAGGGTTGAAGAGACAGATGTAAAACAAAAACAATCTCTTAAGAAAAATAGAATATTTCAAAATCTTCAGACAGGGAAGCCCTATGTGAGACAGAACCAGAAAGCTATAAAAGGAATGCCTTGACATATATATTAAAAACCTCTGAATGATAACCACCACAAAGCTTAAAAATAATTAGCATAGTGTTGAGTGAAAACTACTGTAAAGTGTATGCTACAAAAAAGGATTAATATCCAAAAACATGCAAAATATATAGGAAAGAATAGTAGGAAATACCTTTGCTCATTTTCTATTAGGTTTTTAATCTTTTGTTTTTAATTTGGTGATAATTCACAGAAGAAAACATACAAACAGCAAATGTATATGAAAGGATGCACAACTTCTTTTTAACCAGTAATGAATAACTTTTATAAAATCACTTTTGCCACTAGACTGTCAAAAGTTTAAAAAATATATACCATTCATTATAATGCAGGATTTGAGGAAATTGGGCCCGCTCACACATGGTTGATGGAGGGTTAAATTGGAAAAGGCTTCAGAATATAATTTCTAATATTTATTTAAAAAGTCATACCCCAAATTCAACTTACAAAAGTAAATCTTAAAAAAATACACATACACAACAAAAGACTCCTCATGGACACTCATTGCAATCTTGATTCTAATAGTGAAAAATTAGAAACAATAAAAAGATCCCCAGATTTATTTTTATAAATGAGTCAGAGAATAGACTTTCTGTTCATAAAAAAAAAAAAAACACTAAACAGTAAGAAAGTGTAAAGAAAAAATGGCTAGATAAATACATGCCAAATATTTTACCTGTGAGCAGGATAAAATGGCAGGGAATGAAGGGAGTAAAAGAAGATTTCATATTGTATCTCTTGTTTTGTTTTAGTCCTTTACAATTAGAATGCATTCAGGCAAATTTATATATTTAAAAAACAACCAAATAAAGAATGACTAGAGCAAGTTTGCTTAATCTCACAACAAGTCGTGGCATAAAGTTAATAGTCTAAATAATTAACAATTACTTTATCAATTCAAGTAACAAATATACACGGGCACAATCCTGTAGCAAACATTAGGGTAGACAGCAGTAATAAACGGATGACACAAAGGCTTCTCCTCCACATCATTGAAGAACTATCAGGAAACCAGAAAAGTAAGTGGTTGAGCAATAAGGTGATAATTGCTGTAACACAGATCCATAGAATATCACCTTACTTTTGCTGGGAAGGACAGATAAGTCCTCAATGAGGGAGGGTGAGTAAAATCATACATTTTTTCAATGTATGATAATAATCTCAACAGTCAAGGGGAATGAGGATAGCAAGAAATTTCATGTAATGGGCGAAGTCACTCTTACTTGAGGTCATGGACTCTGCTGTGTCACTCTTTGGGGTTGAACTACTTCCTCCACCCCTGCTCCAAAAGCTGTGCCGCCTTACCTAAGCAACTTAACCTCTCTTAATCTCAATGCCTCAGCTATAAAATGTCAACAAGTAACCACACCCACTCCACTGGTTCATTGAGAAGACTGATGGAGATCATTCATAAAAGCATCAGAACAGTACCTGGAGCATAAGTATTTAATAAATATTTGCTATTCTTTTATGTGTTATCTTTAAAGAAGCCAAAGAGTGCACGATGTGTTTAGGAGATTGAGAGAAGGTTGATATAGACTGAACAGCAAAACTATGGAATATTTACAATACTACAATGAAATATGAATAATCCTTAACTCCAAGTAAGACCAGAGAATTTGCCTAAATGAATCTAAATTTGTATTTATTTACTCTTACTGTAATAGAAAAATTATCTCTTGAGCAATAAAACAAATTATAAATATATATTCAATGAGATTCCATGTTTTTCTGGTGAATTTATACAAATGATCATGAAATTATTTACTTCAACTTTTAAGGCTCCCAAAATTGTAATTGAAAGCATGCAAAATTGGAATTGAAAGCAATGTTCTGTCTTAGGGAAGAAGAAACCTAATTTTTGAAAAAGAAATTTATCCACTAAAATTAAATAAAATATTTCATCTAAAAATAACTTATATCATTTAATGCAGATGAGTCAACAGATCCCTTCCTTTTAATTTCCATCTGGCCTCTGTCATTAGGCTATCACTACTTACTTGCTTTCTCACCATCATTTCAAACCCGTAACGATTCACATGAACGACTGCCTCGAAACCCCTCAGTCCTTCTATATCCTCTGGCTCTTTTATTACAATAAATACTATTACTTCTAAGAAGCAGCTTAGCGCTCTGGTTAATGGCAGAGGCTCTGAAGACAGACCACCTGGATCCAGGCTGTGGCTCTCCCAATTATCAGCTGTGTGACCTCTCTGAGCTTCCATTTCCTCACACTTAGAGTGGGAATAGTAATAATATCTATCTACATATCTTATAAAGTTGTGAAAATTAAACAAATTACTATATATAAAATAGAAAAGCATTTGGCTCCTTAAAAGTGCTAAATAATTCTTAGCTAATGAAAACAGCTTTCTTTGAGTTCCTTACCCTTTCTTTGTGGTACTCAACACCTCACTCTCTCTTTTTCTGCTTCTCTTTCAGTACATTATCACATTAAATACATTATCCTTCTGGCTTGCTGGACTCTCTAAACTTCTGTGCCAAAATAATCTTTCTTTCGTACATAAAACTTTCTACAAAGACTTCAGATTTTACTGCAGAGCAAAAGCCACATATTAATCATTATCTCCACACATGATTCAGCAGGCCTTTATGTAGCTCTATTATTTCTAAATTTTTGCCCAATAAGATGGTGCTATGGCATGGAAAAGCCTTCGTTTATCTTTACTAGAACTGAACCCCAGTTCTTATTACACAAATACATTAATTGGTACAATTTCATTAGCAATTTCCACGTTGTTGATAAGTTGTCCTTAGATTTGCCATTCAATTATTAGGCAAATATGTGCCTAAAATTGTACATGCCTGGTCAGAATGAGGCACTGATACAGCATCACTCACCAAATAAGAAAAATATTAGCAATGTTTTTTATTTCTTTAGTAGCAATAAGGGAGGCAAAAGTCAGAGTATTTTTTTAAATAGAAAAGCACCTGAAATTTTTTCCTTTACCCTCTATATATTTATGTTGTCCCCTCTATATTGCTTGTTTCTACAAAAATCAATCTCTGTAATTTGATCCCAAACTTTGGCTTTGCTTCTATCAAAGTAATTATCAAGTCTTCTATGTGTAAGCTTATTATTTTGATGGATTAGAATCCTGTAGTGTGTAATATGCTTTTTAACATATGGAAGAGAATTGAATTTTGATTGAATACATAAACTGTAAAAGCAGTTTCAGGTCCCATGAAAAAAAGCCTATTACTAAAATAAGTCATGTGTTAATATCAGCACTACTAACTAACCAGTTTCCCCTGATTATCTTAGAAGAAAATGTGGTAAATCATGATAACCAGGTAAGTAAAGAGAGTCACCTGTCTTAATTGACAGCTTGTATAATTTGATTTTTAAAATTAAAACTGTACTTGGCTGTGAAACAGTATGAAATATTAAAGGGACTGAGTTTGTTTTACATTTTAGTCTCAAAATTGAGCAAATAGCTTCAGTTTATGAGCAACATTTCATTTAATGACTATTCAAAGGAATAACTAATTTGAATATTATAAATCTAATTATTAAAATAACACAAATATTACTATAGTACAACTAAAGTCTTCTACAAGATTGATATATATTTTGTCAAGAACGGTCTTACCCAGTGGAATATTTAATTCTGTTTTGCAGCATAAGCTTCTTAGAATGAATAACATTCAAAAACATTTTTAAAAGATATACTAGTATACATCAGGGAAAAATTGCCAATGCTTCAAGGTAATTTCTATCAGAACTTAAATATGGCCCAATGGTCACTTTATAGAGTTCATTAATGAATTTGGGAAGAGACTATTAATCTTCAGTGTTAAATCGACCTTGTGGTGAAATTCATCAAGCTTATCCTGACTTAGAAATACCCTATAGCTATTATTGATAGAAAGTTTGGGAGACTAATTAGAACTCATATCCAAAGTCAAAGAACATAAGATAGAAATAGATTTTTTTAAATGTCCTAAATAAAAGACATATACATATTATGCAGTTTAATACAGGAAGTCTTGCAGGCACAAGTTTTTATTGGGGAGATCCACAGGAAAACATACCTGGCTAGGCTGAAGGCATCATCGATCAAGCCCGCTCGGTTACTGACAGAAAGAACCTGAGGCCAATTAGAAAAAATAATAGGATAATTTAGGATTAAAATGGTAGGTGTTCACATACCAAAAATTATCTTTGATAAGCAAATCTGGAGTGTACCTCATGATTCCGGATTAATTGATCAATTAATAATCTCCAGTTCCTTAGGTCATAGTTGACTCTAAAATAGCCAGTTTGATTGATGTTCCCCAGCAGCCAGCTTCCTTTGTCCAAATAAGTTATTCTGTGGTGCTCTGAAAAAAGCATTTTTGGGATAGATTTCAAACTTTAAGAGTTAAAATGAAATGAAGTATGTTTTCTTAACGCCAGATATAACAATACCAATAATTAAGTGAATGTCATCTTAAATACCTAATTGAAGCCTACTCTTTAATTAATCACTTGCATCTAGAATTTGCTAGAAAAACTTTTAATTGGTTACTCACTATCATCTCAATTAATTGTTTTCTTATAATTAGCATTTTTGTTCTTGACAAAACCCCATTACTTATACATAATTTTCTTTCTCAAAGTAACTGTAACCTAGAAATCTACCACTGTATTCAGGCAACTTCTAATTAGATCGTATGGGGATATGACACTAGAATGAAAGAAGAGGTTTTAGATGCATATTCTACTAATTTGATTCAGTAAGAAAATATTAAAACAATAGAGCTCATTTACTTGAAAGTCACTGTTGTTTGCCTTTTTCTTGTGCTTTCTTGAGAGAACTAATAAATAACAGACTTTTCAACATCATCAATAATGCTAGTAAAATAAATCTTACTTGTTCAAGATTTTAATATTTCCATATAGAATTAGAAACAAAGATAATAAATTCTGCTTATTGGGATCACTTTGGAAAATGGTAATTTGATTATCCTCACCAGCTAATTCAATTAACAGAAGCCAATAAAAAGTAAAAACAATATTATAACTTCTTACATATTTAACTCCTTCAAAAATAGTACAGAGCGAGGACACTATTCACTGCACATGTAGCCTTTATTGACTCCATGGAAACACAGTTCACAGTTCTAATAATTATGTTGTTGATTTTCAGGTCTCATGTTACATAAAATTGACACAGTGAAGTTGACTTTAAATGTATACACATACGCACAGACATACATAGTCTGACATCCAGGTGAAAAAAAATCAAAACCACATGGGTCTCCTCTAATTTCTACAATGACTCAGAACCATAAAAGGCATCACAGAAACCATAAGCTTCTGGTCTGAGTAGGGATACATCTCTAGTTCTTACTCCAATGTCAAAGTTTTTACACATTCAGACTTCAAAATAGAAAATAAATTTTCCCTCTCATTACCTTGAAGGAATACATTTACAGAGTACTCTCTCTCAAGTAGAGACTACACAAGAAGAGTTTATACCAGAAAACATATTGGGTGGACATAAATGACCATTCATTTCTCAGGTCTGGAATGAAGTGAACTAATAAACCCAATGCATATTATAGATGATCAATTTTTTTAAATCTGCAGTAAAATAGAATGTACTTCTACCCCAAAGTATACTGAATATAAAAATTTAATCTTTATCATTTCTAATATCACAACTTCCCACCACCTTTATAAATTGTGTCTATTAGAACAGATAAAGAAATAAGGCTCAGACAGGTTAATTGAATTACCCAAGAAAGGAAGTGGTTCATCTTATATCTCCTGCCTTCAGTGTCCAAATTTTTACTATGCTATATTCTATTGATACAAGATGGTATAACACTTTTACTATAATATGATATACATTTTTCACATTCTAATGTTGATTTGAAAGGGAGAAAATGGCACTGGAAAAAGAATTAGAGTACTATATTCTTTTATAGTACAAGAGTACTAGAGTACAAGAAAAGCTAAATTCTTGTCTCAGCTTTCCTATACGTAAGTGTTTAAATTTATGCTATTGATTCTCTTTGGTCCTCAATTTCCTTACTTGTAACCTGAGGGACAAATAATGGCCCTTAAGGTTCTTTCCAAATCTATGATTCAATGGAAGAAGACATTTATATGTACTATTTTTATATACTATACTTAATCCATGGAACTCAGAAAAATAAATCATCAGATATTTTTTCTAAAATGCAAATGATTTATCCAGTCTCCAGAACTATGATTGTATAGTTTTCAAAATTTAGTGTGTTTATTCAAACAATTGCTGCAAAAATTTAGAATTTCATATCTATTTTAAAGATGTAAAAATGACTACATAAATAAACGAGAAAATACCATTCTTTAAAATTAAAATAACCTCAAAACAGAGATCTTAATTAATAATGTCTGAATTCGGTGAATGAAAATTGAAACTTAAATATTGAGAATGTTGTTTCTTTTTTATTGTAAAAACCTTAGCAACCTTGAAGGCAGAATTAATTAATCTCTAAGTGTCTTCAAGTATACTAAGATTTTTATAACACAAAATATTTAAAATCTACTTGAATTCACTTGAGCTAAGTTGATAAATTTTATCTAAGAAGTGTTATTTTTTTCAAAAAGTTATAATGTTAAAGCACCAAGTTTAATATATAAACACATACTTTGGATTTTTACAAGTTTGAAATGGTCATGCATTCCTGTAACAGTAACTATATTTTTAAAGTTATTTCCTGTTCACATTTTAGATAACTAGAATAACTTAGCCCCATTTGATTTGCTTGAATCTAGTTTTTAAACTTAATTTCAACAACTTATAGATATGATATAGTCAAATTTAAGTTAATATGTATATTAAAATAGGAAAATAATTGCTGTACCTTCTACACCATCTGACCAGAATAAGAAAGACAGGCCTCTATTGTTCTTAAGTATGTCATTATTAAATGTACTACTAAAACCTGAAGGTTATTACTGTTCATGAATATTTTTATGCCTTTGTTACAAACGAGATCGCTGGAGAAATGATTCCCTGAAAATTTTTGTAATAGATTTTTAACTATCTTTTCAGTTCTAGTTAATTATATCCCTAAAATGTTCTTCAAATTAAATGATGGCAAGCAATGAATTTTAAAGAGATCTTTTCCAATGGCCTAATGAGGTATGGTATTTGATGAGTACCATAATAAAATGTATGGAAGTTATATCTTGATGCTGGCAATAATAATTAAAAAATATATTTAGAATGTATCCAAAATGGCACAAGGCTTAGACTATTGAGGTACGGAGTAGTTGGTATTTTATAAGATTTTATATTTTTTACTTTCTGTTGGAATAAAAAGGGAAAAGAGATTAGGTATCTCTATGCAATATTTGCCGGTTGCAAAGAATTGGAATTTAAAAATTTTTTAAAAAGGTCAACCAGAGTAAAAATGTGAGACAAACTCAGGGAAAATAATACATACTGGTCTTCTCACTCGAATTTTGTGAAAATCAAATGAGGATATTTTGTAAAACCTATAAAGAATCCTGTGCATATCAAAGACATCATATTAAATAACTGACAGATCCGTAAAGCAATCTACCATAGCAATAAATCGTGTGTGTGTGTGTGTGTGTGTGTGTGTGTGTGTGTGTGTGTGTTTGCAGAGTCAGGGGAACGGTAGGAAGCAAAGGAAGCCAACTTTCTAAAGCCACCTCTTTACGTAATCAACTGATATTTTGGACAAATTACTTCTCAAGCCTTAATTTCCTCATTTGTAAAATGGGGACAAAATAATGCACATTTGAAAGGTTGTGAATCTCAAATAAACCAGTGCTTCAAGAAAGCACTACTGCATTATGCTACTTTTCATGTTTGCTTTAATTTTCAGGATCAATTTCTCTTCTATTTTAATATTTTCTTTCCTAACATTTGGCATTACATTTATTCCTCTCCATGAACCGTTAATTGAATAGCCAGTCAACATGCAAGCTACTACATTTACAAATGTCTGAATTTTTGGTATTTGCATAATAAGAATGAAAAAGATAAACACTTCAACCTGTTTTCTAAAACTGAAAAATTGGTTTAAAAATTATTTTTAGGCTAAAATGATCTATGCTTTACCTTGGCATTAATTAAATATTTATCCAAAGTACTTTCAAAAATTGAACTGACAAGAATATAGGACGATCCAAATCTAATTTGTACTTTATATTATCCACCACTGACTGCCTTAATATCATGTAGATAAAATCTGCATCACTAAGGACAATGAAAAACTACAAAAACATTGACCTGATTGTTATAATTAAATATGGAACTGTTTTACATATGTTTAAAAGAATTTAACAGAATTTTTTCTTCATGTTTTTGTGGAAAAACAGTTTTCATTGTGATTTAGTTGACAATATCTTGAAAAAGAGGAGATGGGACAACACACAAAAGGAAACAAAAATTAACAATCTTTTATCTTTTTTTCCTAATTTTTGTTTGCTGTTAAATTTTTATTAGTCATCAGAACGAAGGACTTCATAAAAAAAATTTAATACAATTAAACTGGAACTGAAAAGGCAAAACAGGAAAGTGCTCAGTCCTTTAGATGCCTCTTGTAAACTTTGCAGATTTTTGTATTTACAAAATTTTCAGGAAACATTATCTTCGTATGGGCAATCTGCAAAAGTTTTAACATTCTAAATGTGGCAATGTTATATCAAACAGAAGATAGTGCTATGAATGTGTCCTTTTTCATTAAAATGTCCAAGTCGCACCTTACACAACTTTGGGGTGAGGGCCTGTGCCATTCATATCACCGCCTGTGCAAATAGCGCCTCCTACAGTTATCTACTGCGCAAACGCTGCAGCTGTATATTAGGACCACACATATCAAGATAGGTGATATTTTAGGCAAACATATGGTTTGAACCAATACATTGTTTTATTCTTGAATAATAATGAAAGACTGTAAAGGAAAGCAATCCCTCAAACATAACCCGTGGCTATTGGTCAAGGAAAGCTGGTATACTACTCTTTTTTTTTTTTTTTTTTTTTTTTTTTGAGACAGTCTCTCTCTCTCACTCAGGCTGGAGTGCCATAGCGCGATCTCGGCTCACTGCAACCTCCGCCTACTGGGTTCAAGCGATTCTCCTGCCTCAGTCTACCGAGTAGCTGGGATTATAGGTGCCCACCACCATGCCCAGCTAATTTCTGTATTTTTAGTAGAGATGGAGTTTCATCATGTTGGCCAGGCTGGTCTCAAACTCCTGATCTCAAGTGATCCACCTGCCTCAGCCTCCCAAAGTGCTGGGATTACAGGCATGAGCCACAGCGCCCAGCCTGGGATACTATTCTTGATATTCTGTGAGAGATAAAAATACATCATGCATAACAGCATGGAAATAACTAAGAAGTTAGAAGAAATGGACCCGGAAAGGTATCCACCAGAATTACTCATCCTGAATCCTTGCACTATCTAAAAGTGAAGTTTTGGGCTAATCCCCATGTTTGATCAGTATCTTTACCCTCTTCTAATTTTCCCATTTCCATTCTACCTTCCAAAGAAAAATATTCTACCTTATTTCTGAAGATAGTTCTATCACACCTCACAGGAATCCTATAGAGCGATGACTTCTTTCTAATTTGATCATTATAACAACTCACTGCTCTCCCTCATCATTTCACAAACAACTTATGTAGACAAACAACTACATGACAGGAAAAGACAAATACAAAATCAAATAATACAGGAAGTGTGAATTCAGAATCACAATATAAATACTAATTCCAGTAATTGAAAGAATAGATTATAATAAACAATTTAAAAGGAAAAAAACACCAACAAATTTTAAAGTATTTCAATGCATTGCTACATTACTTATCAATGCTTCATATACAGCGTATATAAATAAAAGCATATGTTTTCGTCGTATGTCTTTATGTGTTAGAAATACAATAACCTGAAAATGTATGTAAACATCTGCATGGAACTGTAAGTGTTCGTACTGCTGACAACCAGATTAGATTTTACTGTAACAACGTTTTCTTGCATGTATACATATATGTATTTTGAGCATGTAAACCTCCCTTATAATAGCAAGGCTGAGGAGAAGAAACTGTGTTTGTTTATTTATTTATACCTCACCCTATTTCAAATAAAAAATATGTGGCTTTTTAAACTAAGGCTTATGAGAGAGCAAAATAACATCAATTAACAGCATCTGAGGAAGGAGTAAGAAAAACAATATCTGGGCACACTTGACTATCTAAATCTAAATGAAATGTTACATAAAAGATGATAATTGGCTTTTTCTCTAACTCAGTGGAAAACAGAAATAAAAGGGACCTGTTTCACACTGTAGAATGAAGGCTATAGTTTGGATTCAAGAAATAGCTTTCTGACAGTAAATTGAAATAGGTCACTATCTTATTTGAAGATATTTAGAAAGAGAATAGAATCTCATCTCTCTCTGCTCCTTGAGGTTTGACCCCACCTAAGAGATGGCTTGCTAACCTGTCCAAGCCCCCCACCTTCTGGCCCTGTAATTATATAATTCCATGGAGAATATTGCCTCTCTCACCTTTTAAAGAGACAGTCTGGTAAAGAGAAGATAGGAAAGTGTAAAAATGAGACCTGTGTTTTCAGTATTTGGCACACTCTTCTCTTTGAGGTTATAATTATATTTTAATTACATGTGGAGTTATAAAGAAATACAATTTTAAACACCTAAGATTAGTATTACACTTATTTTTAAGTTTTCTCTTTACCATTAAAGAAACAAATAATTTAGTAATTATATAAACTGAAATTAGACTATTTAGAAACTATACTATATCTAATTTTATAGGGTTGATAATCATTCCTTTATATTCTCTTTCTAATTTGTCTTTATTCACATTTTATAACAGCTGAAACCAGAGGTTAAGTTGCTAAACAATTATCTGAAACCAGATACTTCCTCAGGGGAGAATATATAGTTTACCTGATTTGTTAGACACCCAAATAATTGCTTCTGAAGACACATGGCTTCTATTTCCTACCACAATAGTTAATGGAATCTGCCACAGGTAACTGCAAAATAAAAGACAAGCTTTAAGAATAAAAATAACTATATCGAAACAAAAACAAAAAACATTTCCCATGCGCCTTCTGTGTGATTTTTATTACTCTCATTAGGTGAACTAAAAAAAAATAATTCCGGTCACAAAAGTAAGGCATAGGTCAAAAAGATGAATTCACTCTTTCAATGCCATTAAGAAGACTTGGCCTTTAAGAATTTTAATTGCAATGCAAAGAGAACTGCCAACAAAACCATTTTTCTTGGGGGAAAAAAGATTCGCATTTTGAATTTGAAATAGAAAGTACCTAATATCTATACACCTGAGCCATATTGATTAAAGTCTAAACATAACTTCTTTCTACTTGTTTTTATGTTAGATTAAGACACATTTCAGTGGCTTCATGCATTTACATTTTAATATTCTCCTTATTTATTATCTAATGACTCTGTAGGACACTATTAATGTACTTTACAGAAAAGTTAATATGACGTATCTAAAGTTACTCAGCAGAAAGAAAAAAAAACTAGTCAGATTCCCATACAATCCAGATCAATAGAAAGAATATTGTGGGACACACTTAATGCTCTGTTTTGTGAAATGGAATTTCTAGCTTGATGTGTCAAAGCATCCACCAACGTGCAGGGACCAATCATGAAACTCAACTATTAAAAAGAAGCATTTTGTAACATTTACCTTTTTATAGGATAAAAATTGAGGCCTATACTTATACATGCAGTAATGTCAGTTTAATCTCAAATGAATAGCCAGAGATATGCTGGATGGTCTTACAATAAGTCCAATGACTATATTTGTTTCCTTCTTGAAATATAGCCAGATTATTTCAATCTATCATTTCACCGTTATCAATAGGGTAGCCAACAATTCCAGTATGGAAAAAATATTTTTCTGTTTTAGAAATGTAAGACAAGATATTGCGTGATCTCAATAACTGTGAGAATAAATAAAGAATTAAAAAATGTTCGGGAAACATGCCTGGGGATAATAAACATTATAATGAATATGTCTTTTGGGGAGTGAGAGAGAAGGGCATTTCCTATGACTCTGTCGTGTGAAATTTGACTATTTTATTATTCCATGTTTTGCATTCACAATAAACAGAATTCAGTAATAGTAAAGAGTCCAAATGGAAGGTTGGAAGAAATTCATAATTTTATACCAATCCTATCTCCAGTATGGAAAATCAAAATAATATGTTTACAGTTCTTAATTTTAAAACTATATCCTATACTTAATGAAAAAAAAACATTTTGGAGGGCAAACTATGTGGAGATACTATGCTATACTAATAAGGACTCCATACAATCGGTCTGGTAATAAAACAATTTATAATAGCAAAATCTATATTGACTCTTTAGACAGTAGTTCATGAACAACAACTCATGTAAACTCTTTAACAAATACTTCCAAGCTTTCAATATAGGTTTAAAAATATGCCCCAGATATTTAATGACAGATTTGAGGAAGAGACAAAGAACTGATCTATTTCATTAACAGTTGTTCTCTAAAAATATTGGGTCTCTCTTGGTTAATTGGAATACTTAGTTAAGAGACCATGATGCCCAACTATGAGTCTGATTCTCAAATTAAATGATAAGCTCATTTTTGTGTACCTAGATCTTGAAAAAGCCTGAAAATAGAAGGCATTTCTACTCTAAATCATAAATTACTATTGAATCTGATTGAATGCACTTGGAATAAAATGAAATAAAAGGCATAAAACCCATCTATAGGTAAGACAGATTAACTTCATAAACTTGACTTTAGTACATATCTTCCATATTGAGTTGGTTCAGCTAAATTGTGAAGCCAAATAAGTACTGGTTAAAAGGCAAAGAATATAGAAAATTGAGGACATTTAAAAATTCTCAAGGACAAATGTGTCTTTTTTGTAGCATGATCATAAAATGTTTGTGAATCATTGCCCCTAATATAAACATAATTTCCATGTATTTAAATTATTTATTCTAAACAACTAGAGATTATGATAAAAGTTGGTTTGTTTCTATATTTGGGTTTTAGAAAAAAATATCTAAAATACAAGAAAACGATTCACATAAATACATGCATGTCAATACCACATACATACAGCACTTCCTAAATGTCAGGCATTGTATCACACAGCTGTTCAGATACAAGTTAACTATAAGGTTAACTAAGTTAAACTATAAACCTTATAGTTATAACTATAAGGTTTGGGGATACAAACTTTGAGGCATTTTTTAAAACTTAAAAAAAAAATTTATTATTTCCTAAGAATAATTTTTCTCTACTCTATGTGTGTTTCTGTGTATGCACACACATAACGAAAATCTACATATAGTAACAAAGACAAATTAAAAGTTCCAAGTTACCAAGCATATTTGAAATTTGTATTTATTTTTGAAATACCGTACTGTTAATACATTTCATAACTTTCAAAATATCATATATGTGGACTTTTCATAAATTTCATTTTAAAATCAAGGAAAGCCTGATAATTATGCTGCTTTGTGATTATAACTTAAAAGACTAGAAGACCCTAAACATAGTTTAGTGAAAAGCCCTCTATGTTGTAAAGAAATCCAAGACTGCAATGGATTATGTTTAAAAAGATATTAGAAAAAATAACTTAGGAAATTAGATTGTGTTCCAGCTGTTTCGGTTTAACTTGAATTTTCATCACGTTATTTTAAGCATTAAAAAAAGACCCATCAAGATATTTTTTTCTTTAACAGTTCCTGGGACTGCCTCTCTTATCAGTCGTTTTCATTGTTATAATAAAGCAACTTTTATTCTAATGATTATATTAAGGTAGTAAAGAATGGGTGCATATAAACCTGAATGAGACATCTTTTTATAAAATAGCATCAATATTAATGAAGCATTTGTCCAGACTTTGTGAAAAACTGTTCAGATGTCACTGTCATCAGGGCATTAAGAGAAGGAAAGTATGACTGTGGAGGTTAGTAAAATTCTCTGCAGCAAAGAACGCTGAGAAGCTCCTCAGTGTATAGGGAATCATTACTTTACATTGCAATGCATTAACTGTATAATGAAAAAGGCTACGCAAATTCACAACTTCCCAAGTACCAAAATTCTAGAATATATTTTATACTCCGTTACACATCAGCTAACTTTATGTGACTATTCAGTTATGTAAAGATCTTTCCTTTCTATGTTGTAATACAACTATTACATATAAAAATATAATTACTGGATTCTCTTAAAATGTTCTAGGCATATTGCAGTGATGTTCTAGTATTTCTTAGAAAAATGAAAAGACAAATAATTGATTTTCCTGGCTCAGAAAATATACAGATTTCACAGGATTTCTGGAATAGATCGGTAGTTGGTTTTACTCCATCAACTGTTTGCATTGTAAAATAAAGATCTAGGAAGGCTATATACATAGGCCAGAGAGAATCGTATTGAAGCTTTGACCAGGATGTTATAGTGAATTAAATGATCAATAATATGAAATTGTAATAATAAATTTTCAGCTACAAGCTCTATAATTGCAAAATGAATAGAAAGTCAGTCATTTTTGAGACTAATAGGATGTCCTGCATTATCTTACTCTTAATATTTTATATGCCAAGTTCTCAGAGTTCAAAATCATACATATGGCTCACGCCTGTAATCCCAGCACTTTGGGAGGCCGAGGCGGGTGGGTCACGAGGTCAGGAGATCGAGAGGATCCTGGCTAACACGGTGAAACCCTGTCTCCACTGAAAATACAAAAAATTAGCCGGGTGTGGCGGCGGGCCCTTTAGTCCCAGCTACTCCGGAGGCTGAGGCAGGAGAATGGGGTGAACCTGGGAGGCGGAGCTTGCAGTGAGCCGAGATCGCGTCACTGCACTCCAGCCTGGGAGACAGAGCAAGACTCCGTCTCAAAAAAAAAAAAAAAAAAAAAAAAAAAAAAAATTCATACGCATGATTTTATAATTCCAGAAGACAAACCGACAAAGCTGTCTAGATGTTACATATGCTTATACAGCCTTGGAGAAATTCTTCCTTTAAAGAATCAGACTCCTGGCTGGTACATCTGATGTATGTTATAGGTTGACAGAATATTTTTGTTCAAAATTTGTTCTGTCATCTGCGTGTCCTTTATGTTTTTCTGCATCAGTGATGCTTGTGTCACACTGATCATTCTCAAAGGCCTGGCCCGAATCTCTCTAACTTGGCCACAGTCAAGTAGTTTTTATGTACTTCCTGGCAAGGCCAGAGTTGATGCCTACGCTTGTGCTTGTTTTGCCTGGGGCCAGACATCAGAAGATTAGAAACAGCACTTGGCAGATGTGGGAAATCCAGGCTCGGGGAAGAAGCATTGACAGAGTCAGCCCCTAAAGGTGGTGAGAGTGTGGCAGGGTACTAGCACAATCCATGAGTCTACACAGTTGGATTTCAAAGGGTAGCATGTTGAAGGTAAATATAGACTGTATATGGAGAGAGAGATAGAAGACACTGCTTTCCTAAATCGGATTCCAAATGTAGTCACCAGAAACATTCATGAATTTCTCAGTCACTTAGATTGAGTGACTGGCTGGTCTTGGAGCCAGCCTACAGGAGAACAATTTCCATTCTTCTTAGAGATGACAAAGCAAACTTAATGTCTGTTCCAGATCTCCTAGACATGGGTGAATGATAAAGTCAGACTCCTAATTTTCCAAGGTAATGGGAGACAGCATGAGTAACCCAATCCAAACATCTCATTGCGTTTATCAATTTTAACTTCTCTCCCTCTTTCTGTAGCTCCCATCCCCCACCCCCGCCCCCAGCCCTCACTGGAACGAAAGTCTTACTAGGGCATCTTAAATGAAATGAAATGGAATGATTTAAGTTTTAATATCTTTCTTTGGCTCAGACTTTAATCAGACACAAAATAGAAAACATAAAGTAGAAAAGAAAGAAAAATGCTATTTGCTGAGTTATCAGTAATTAAATGAGTTTCAGCAGAAAGTTAAAGAAACAACAAATAAAGATTCTGTGTATGCTGTCTGTTTATTGATTTTAAACACTAAAAATAAGAAAGAGAAAATATGTTGATACTAAGTGGCATTAATCATTAGATCATTTTAAGGTATCGTTTTAAATTCCTTTGACTCAGACATTATTTAATTTGATTTTTGTTTTAGTTTTTCTGCATTATGAGTTTCTGTTCTCACTTGTTTTATAAATCTCACAGTTTGCTCAATTCCTTTTAATTCACAGCAACACATTTTAACTTCTTGCATTTAATTCAAGAAACATTCATGGGGAAAAGTGAAAAATAACATTTTATTTTTTTAACCACCATGATTATTTAAAATTCTGTCTTCCTAAACAAATAACTTTGGTGTTTTTTCAGCTTGAAGGTTCAGATATCCAGGAAATGGGAGTAAAAGGAGAATCAAAGTAACTTGTGTAAATAAAGAAACAAAAACTATATTTCACTTACAATATTTCAGAATTTTGTTATTAATGCTCTTTGAAATATTAAACCTACAAATGTAAGAATAAAAACAATATTTTTCACGTAAAAAAGAATGTCATACCTGTTATTCTGAAGTTTAAGTGCTTTAGTTTTAGCACTGATATCATAGATAAAATGCTGTTGGGTAATTATTATTCTATTTTCTGCTGTTGTGTTTCCCAAGATGGTGATAACAGGATAACCCATCTGGAGTGTCCACTGATCCATTACTTCTTGTATATTTACATATTTCCCATTTCTTTTTAAAGCCTTCACAAGGAAAAATGTACAAATTAGTTTTATAAACATGAATTATCAACATTATTAACATTAAGACATTTTTATTTCTATTTTTACTATTTACCTAAATATGAAAACATTTAAAGTCATTGAAGCCAATATAATGTGTTAGTGAAATTAATCTTCTTGCCCTAAGTTAAGCTTCATAAATGTATATAAAAATGAAAGTTGTATTAACATTAAAGTTTTTACATAACATAAAATAAATGTTATTATTAAAGCAAATCCCTGAAGCATCAGTAATTATTCCCATCATGTCTAGTGTCACATTTAAATATCTGACCTATAGAAAAAATTATTTAAAACTTCAATTTTTTTTTAACATGAATATCTTACACCATGTTAAACTTATATTTCAGAAGTATTGTCATGTTTGAAAGTAGGTGAGGTATCATTTACTACCATTTGTAGTTTAGTTTTAAACCCCTTTATTTTACAATATATTATATAAAACAAAAAATCAATATGAACAAATGAAAAATGTAAAAAGTAAAAACAAACTATCAGGTGTCAATAAAGGCTATGAATGTCTTATAAATGCAATTCAAATATTCAAGTAGAGGTTTTGATATTTAAGCTTCCTATACTTTACCTCCGATAATGTATTCCAGAGATCATTTCTGGCTGCATTACCATACTTATGAATGGTTAAATAATCCTACAAGAATATAAAATTGTAATTGTAATTCAAAGGTTAAACAGTAACTAGTAAACACATTTATTTCTCAATTAATAATTTTCATTTGTTGGAATTATATTAATAAAAAAGGACATAAAAAAGATAAATAATCTCATTTAAAAATATTCCAAAGAGATTTAACTATAGAATATTTCCTAATTAAGTCGTCGAACAATATTAATCTCTTAAAAATCATTTTCATAACTATAATAACTTCTTACAGATATTCAGAGTCAAAGATCTTTCTCTAATTGAGCAAGTCAACCTCAGTCAATTCTGAAAACACTACCTCTTCAATGAAATATTTAGAGAAACTTTCCCATCAGGCTTTTGCGTTAAAGTGTTGAAAAAGAAATATTTTATGAAAAAAAGAAAGAGCTAATATATGCTGATGTTAAGAGGGATTGCTTTGCCAAAAGAATACTCTCTTCACAATCTGTCTCCATTTCAATGGTCTCTCTGCAAAGGAAAGGCTGCCTATTACAATAATGATAAATACTTATTTCCATGGATTTGAAACACACATTAATATTTGATAAGAAAAAGTCATTCCTGAGTTTATTTAACATTTTGGGCCTTAGGACTTGCCATTTTTAATGTTTAGTTATTAGTGGTAAAACCTATACACTTTCTATCCGATTCACACTTTGTTCTCCTCTAAGAAGCATGGTTTGTCTCATCAATGTGCTATTTAGTTATGGCTGGTTTGCATTATTTTTTCTGATTTCAAAACAGAAATATGAATATGAAAATAGTGTTATATTGTAAAAGTCCCTCCTCGTTCATTTGAAATTCCATTATCTCTGCAACATATATATAGTAGACAAAATCCTAAATTATATCAAAGTACTGAAAAGAAAAATGCTGACTCCTTCAGTACTTTTATGGAGTTGGCTACTCTGGGGATAATTAAACTTGGGGGAAGCAAAGTTTCTGAAATACAAATTGTAACACCTGTGACAGGTTCAGCTTTTGTTGGCAACTCACAGCACAGCAAATGGCAACTCCCACTTAATCAGATGCCTAGAGATGCAATGTCCAACACTAACTTAGCAACCACAAATTCATCATTGCCATCAGGTGTTATGAATAACTTTGTTAAAAAACATAACCCTGAATAACCATTCTGAATCCTAATTTGGCTTTGAACATTCCATATGAGGTTTTTCAACATGAACCCAGAGACCAGGATTTAACTATTTCAGATTTAACTTTCAAAATTATTCTTTATGCTTTTTTGCACTTAAATGAATAAATTTGGGAATAAGATTTACAAAATATAAATGTGCATTTTATTTTATTTTTTAATTTTTTATTTGAGACAAGATCTCACTCTGTCACTCAGGCTGGAGTGTAGTAGTATGATCACGGCTCACTGCAGCCTTTACCTCCCAGGCTCAAGTGATCCTCCTTCCTCAGCCTCCTCAGTAGCTAGGACTGCAGGTGCACACACCACCACATCCAGCTGTTTTTTTTTAATTTTTTGTAGCAACAGGATTCCATTATGTGGCCCATGCTGGCCTTGAGCTCCTGGGCTCGAGCTAGTCTCCCTCCATGGCCTGCCAAAGGGTTGCGATTACAGGCCTTAGCCACCAGGCCTAACTTGCATTTTATTTTAGTGATGTAATAATAAAAGGTGCTAATATTAGAACTCTTTACTCTTAGGTTCTGTTTATGGGTAGTGCTGCTAGGCTAATTCAGCAAAGTGGAAATAAAGGAATACTATAAAATCCAATATACAATTTTCTTCTCAAAGATCATAAAAGTCTAACTATTCATAATATGAGTTGACCTTGTCCTAGTATCATCAGTTTGAACTATTTCTTCCCTCCTCAGTTTAGAGAAAGGTTCAAGTTTCCACTTCAAGCAGGCTGAAATGAAAATTATCCAGACATAAGCAATTTCCAACTTGCCTGTCTCTGTATTCAGGGAAGATAACATATCTTCTTGAACTCTCAGTAACCCTAATATTCAGACGTTATTGGAATTTTACATGTGCCAACTTTTTTTAAAGTTTCCCTTTTTTAAAAGAGAAAGCTTGCATAAACTTACAGCTTGAATTAAGAAAATTCTGCAGAATTATAAAGAAACTTAAAGGATAATGAGTGCGTTTCAATAATCAGTCATCTATTTTTTTTCATTAATTCCACAAAATTTATGGAGCACTTAGTGTGTTCAGGTAACTTTCTAGTACAGGGGAAACAATGGTGAAGAAAAGGTTACTGAGAACAACTACAAATACTGAGATGTGATTTGTGTAGGGAGATTTCCATGACTGAAGCTATAGAAGTCTTGGTATAATAACCACTTGGCAAGATGAAATCACATTTAGTATCTCATTGAATAAAAATATTTTAAGTTCTTTTCAAACCTCTAAGTCAGTGAATATGAAAGTCCTTAGAGATATAAATCTGAAATGGAAATCTAAGTTTACATTTATGTGTATAAAAGTCAGTCTTCAGCAGATTTGACATTATGATATAAAATAGAAGAATGTTTTAATATTAACTTAAAAAGAATTGTGGTTTCTCTATACTAGGTATTTCAGAAATAATAGAGTTATTGTAAGGAATCAAATAAAGATAATCACCAGAATATTCTTAAGAGACATACCAAATAATATAGACTGATTAAAAGTTAAAACTCTATTTAACAAGAATATATTACATCTGCCTATGGAGAGAGGTATCATAGCATAGTGGTTTAAAATGCAGTAACAAGAGCCTGCCTTGGTTCAAACACAAGGTCCAACATTCACTAGCTATATGAGCTTTAGAAAGCTGTTTAACTCTTTGTGCCTATCTTCACATATATAACAATGGGGATAATAAAATAACTACTGTATATATTTTTTCTGAGAATTGAATGATTCAATATACAGTGTTAAAAGAATGAATAGTGCCTAGCACATCATAAATATTCAGTGGGCATTCTCTCTGGTAATCTTTTTAATAATCTCAGGCTATAGGTTGGAAAACTGAGTAACTGAGAAGGAAATGCATCATTATCAATAATAATGAAAGAGCACAGCACATGAAAACCGTAATATTTGTCTCCTTTTTAACACTGTGCGAGTTGCCTTATATTTTATCTCATTCAATCCACACAACACATTAGAGGTAGACATTATTATCATCATTTAAGAAATCAGAACATTGGAACTCAGAGTCTTCAGCCTACATCCAAACCCCATGCCTGTGCCTACCCAAATCCAATATCCAAGATATCCAAGCCACATAGATAACTGAGTCCTATTAGCCACATAGATAACTGAGTCCTATTAAAAACTGAACTCATTATCCTCCCCTATATTGGCTCCTTTTGGTGGCCCTTCTCCAGTGAAGACCTTCTCATCCACCTCTAGCAAAGGGTTATCTTGATGCCTTGATCACCCTTTCCACCATATTCAATTAATAATCCATGACCTAAATATACTCCAAGATTCCCACTTTCCCTTACCTGTTTGTCTACTCTACAGAATCTTACATGGGTGATGACAGCTGCCCTTGCTTCTGATTTGTCCCTTTCACATCTAGTCTCTCCCACAAAGCCAGAATATTTTTGATCAAATACACACATAAATCCCTGCTATGTTCAGAATATAGTCCAAACTCCTTAATATAACCTAAAAATGGCCCTCATAATCTTGTCCCTCTGTATTTCTCAAATCCCATTTGTTAACTTGTTGCTCCCTGCATTAATTTAGCCACTTTCAGCTTTCTGAAGATGCCTAATGGATATTTTATCTCATTTCTGGTTCTCTGCACATGCAATTCTCTACATATTCTTTTCTCCTTTGCCTACCTCAATTCAATTCAATTTCCAGGACTCAATTTTGATGCATTTCCTCCAGGAATCATTCCCCATCCACTTCAACCTCCTTCCTAAGTTAAATATCTCTTTTATATTGTCACACAATGTTCTATATAATAGCATTTATCCCACTGTGTCATAGGTGCCTGTTTATTAGTTTGACTGTTCACACAGCCTGTAAAATCCGTGAGAGTAATGATCCTGCCAGTCTTGTTTACCACTATTTAACCAACATCTTTGTGCCCAGTCTGGTACACAATAGGTGCTTTCTCTCTCTCTCTCTCTCTCCTCTCTCTCCCTGTCCTCTCTCTCCATATATATGTATTTAAAATGCAGTAATAAGAGCATGTATGTGTGTGTGTGTGTGTGTGATTTGTCTTTCTTTTTGCAATATTTGTTTCTGTTGATAACTGACAATGCAGTAAGCATAGATTACTTATATCTGTCAGGATCCCCCAAAATATCATATTTAAATATTAATACAGGACATAATTCATTATTTCAGTATATACTTGTCAGGCATATAACTTGAATGGATATATGCGATTGCATATAATGTCACCAAAAATTGTGAATGATTACATACGAGACCATTTTTGTTTTATTTCATTTGCTAACAAGTGATGTGCTTCATAACATGTCATGTGTAAAAGCCAACAGGACTAATAAAGACAAGGGGAAAAGTAAAGAGTGAGTTAAGGAAGTAAAGCACTATTATCTTTTAAGATTTACATGGAAATAATTATGGAATAATTGCTTTCCTATTAATGAGTCTTTTAGCATGCTAGGATAGAGGATTAACCACATAAATGGTTTACTCCTTGAGACATAAAGGGATGATTCCATAAAAACCATATGGATTCATTTACATGTGTTTAGCTGCAAGTAATAAACATCCACCCTAGAATGACTTTTAAAATAGGAGTATTTATTCTTTCCTATCATAAGTAGGTAGGACAGAGCTGCAGCCACTTTCTTCTGGAATTATTTTGGTCCCACCCCATCTATGATTTGGCTTCTCAGGTTCATGGCTAGATGGCAGCAGCAATCCCAAGCATCATATTCAGATGTGACATTGTACAGAGGAAAGATACAGAATTTCTTCCTGAGAACCTCCTTTAAGGAATCAGGAAAACTTCCCCTCAAATTCTGCAGCAAATTTCCCACATTTGTCATCTGTCAACATTGCACCATGTGCTCTAGCAAGAATCTGTTACTGCATCTTAAGGAGGCATTGTTTGAACTTTACCCAAGGAAAGACATAGTCCTCTAAAGAATATGGCTGTTTATAACAGGGTGAGAACTTAAAAGAAAAAAATCAGAATTCAGCTAATAAAAAAGAGAGGACAACTAGGTATAGGGAGACCACCACCAATAGTGCTTTCTCCAGTGAGACAGGGTACAGCAGCCTGGGACTCATTGACACTGGGAAGTAGGATGTCCTATAGTTGTAAGACTAGTCTGGAAATGCTAGGTAAATTCAAGCACTGATTTTTCTGAAGATGTGACAAGAAGGCTGAAGCAAGAGTTTGAAATATTGTTGCTTTCTATCAAGAATAATTGTACCTCAAAAAAATTTGTAGTGTGCATTTGTCATTTTTTTGGCTTTCCAGCATTTAAATACCAGTTTTATACGGGGGCAATCACTCACAATGGAATCTGGGAAGAAGGCAAAATCTCTGCCTCCCTCTACTGAAATGGAAGGGACAAAATACTAAATATTCCCTCTCCACTTTGCCTGGCAGCTAAAGCCTGGGCATGTGCTCTGGCCTCAGACAAGGGGATGCTTCGTCCTAGGACTATGAATCCTAAAAGAGTAGTGCCTGTCATGGTGACACTGAGGGTCCTGTGGTAGCCACTCTAATGGGAACAGCTAAACCTTCACTCCTGTGGCATAACCTTGGCTACATCTCTTGATTTCTGAGTCTACTTTAGTTCTTATTCTATTTTGTAAGCCTGGTTCTTCATCCTTCCCAATGATTCAATGGGCTACCTATATCCTTCAGATAATTTCCTTTCTGCCTGATTTAACCAGAATTTGTTTCTGTTGCTTGCATAATACAACCCTAATGGGTTAAGCAAAATGAAGGAAGACACTTCTACATTATCTTGGCAACCCGTAGTAAGAAATTAAACTATTGCCTACAACTTATACAAAATAAAAACTAAAGAACACTAAATTCTATTTAGTACATCAGTTAGGCTTTTGTTGTTCTTATGAACAGTAGATATGGCGTGAAAGACATGTATATTTAATTTTTATGTTTTAAAAGCAGACAAGAATGTTGGAGAGAAAGATTAAAACTGAAATAAAGTGCAGAAGGTTCTATAGACTGGGGGGCAGACAGAGTGACAACAACAAAAACATTTTAAAAAGCAACAGTTTTTGTCTTAAACAAAGCTTCCAAAGCAGGGGCTTTTGAACTGAGAACCGTAAGTTCTGAGCTTATACATTTGTAAGTATGTGCATTATTAGAGTAAGATGATCTTAAAGGGATCCATAAACAACAACAAAAGTAGACTAAAAGTATCAGATCACAGCAAAGTCACACAAGAGTTGAATAAAACCCATTTGAAGCCTGGCCCATGCACTTCAGAGGATGTTTTCACATTCCCTAACCTTGAGAAACAGGAGCAAGGAGACTACAACAGTGACAGATGACCAACTTAAACAAAGAAAGCTAGACTATAGACCAAGGTGTCTATGTGGATTCATACCTAGAAATTGATGGAAATTTTAAGATTAAGTAAAAATGAGTAACAAATCCCTAAGAAAGCTTTATGCAAAGATTAAAAAATAATGTTTATATTTTAATTCTATTAGATAAGAGTCAAAGATGAAAAGGTATAATTATTGAAACCTTTATTATTAAATTATATTAGGTTTCCAAGACATAACTCCAGTATAATAAGAACCATTACTAAACTTTTTGAGGTATAGCAGTTCAAGCCACTGGACATGAAAAGAAAGAAAGAGATGACAGATTTAGGAAAGAAAGCTATTGGAGAGATAGAAGAAGGATAGTTGAAAGTCAGTTTTCATGGTTTGTATACCATTCTGACTGAATTTGTAAATGTGTTTACCCTAAATTTACCTTTAGAAGTGGCTTGCTTAGATATGGGAGTATTCAGATAGTTTGCTAGGAACAAAAAAGGCATTTTACATGTTATACAAATCCATTACTCCACCCAATCAATGTAAATTTTGTAAGAATAAGTATATTTTTATAAGTGGCTGCTAAATGTAGTAGAACATCACAACATTGTAAATCAAAACAACCTGCCAGCTCATGAAAGTTTTTCTTGCTTGTTTGCTTTAAATTACAGACAATGGCATCTTCTCACATCACTTTTGTTTTCAAATATCTCCTATGTTGTAATTATAGATCATACCACCAATTCCTCAACATGCAGGCACATGACCAGAGTTACAATATTTCCACTGTAGGATTTGTATGCCATTCCAGAACAAGGTGACAGGGTCCTACACCTGTCAGTGAAATAATGTAAGTGTCATAGTCTATAGAGGAGTTCTGGGGTTCTAAAATATTTCTACCTCTCACTTTTGCTGCTGGTATGAAATATTACTGAGACATAAAGTGAATCTATTGGTAAAAATGAAATTTGTGAATTGCTTTTTCTGAATATCCTGATCAAGGGCTTTGATCACCATTCACTCCCAAAATAGATAAATTACATCCTGGCTGGTAAAAATGGACTGCTTCTTGTAAATCAAGTTGCCCACTGATTGCAGGCATGTACACAGAGTTCCCTCTCCCACCTCTTCGCTCTCTCAGCCCCGGTGCTGGTGACAACTTGGGAAGAAATGTAATTTAGTTGAGAAAGAAGATATATATAAACTAGGTATAGTTATTAACCCATGCTGATTCCTACCAGTCATGTGATCTTGGATAAAGTATCTATTTTCTCTAAACCTTAATTTCTTCAACTGAAAAATGTACATAATGTAGTGCTTACCTGATAAGGGTATGCAGAGAAAATGATATAAAACAAATAAACGACTTAGAAAAATACCAGCCACATAAAGAATCCAAGAAACTTCAGTTATTTTAATAGCAAGATAAATGGGAAAAAAAGGGCTGGTGTCAAAAGTCTTCTTCAATCTTCCCTCCAAGAGAAGCCAAAATGTTCTAGAAACACTATAAGAAAATTATATGGACTTGGCCGGGAGCGGTGGCTCACTCCTGTAATCCTGGCACTTTGGGAGGCCGAAGCGCATGAATCACCTGAGGTCAGGAGTTCGAGACCAGCCTGGCCAACGTGGTGAAACCCCATCTCTACTAAAAATACAAAAATTAGCCAGGTGAGGTGGCAGCCACCTGTAATCCCAGCTACTCAGGAGGCTGAGGCAGGAGATGGCTTGAACCCAGGAGGCAGAAGTTGCAGTGCGTTGAGGTTGTACCATTGTACTCCAGCCTGGGTGACAAGAGCGAAACTCCAAATAAAAAAAAAAAAAAAAAGAAGGAAAAGAAAAGAACAGAGAAGAGGAGAGGAGAGGAGACGAAAGGAAAGGAAAGAAAAGAAAATTATATGTACTAACCTGAAGGAGGAAATTGCCTGGGTGGGGTGGGGGGTGTGGTGGAGCGGTAGAAAAAGAAAAGAAAAATTAAGAACAAAGCTTCCTTTAGGCTTCTGGAAAGCTGCTTAGAAGACTTCCTTCCAAATACAGGAAAGTAATGGGTTTTGGACAGTTCTTCCAAGTTGTGGGGTCTAGCAGCCTGTCTTTCACTGAGCTCTACTGAGATGACAAGACCCCTGATGGGCAGTTCATGGAATGGGCACACTAATTCGACTCAGCACAAAAGAGACTTACCCAAGCTGGCACTAATGCAATAAAGACACTAATCTTACTGTTATTATTATTAATGGTGGGTTATTTGTCTATCAGATTCTTCCTGTCTTCTCTTCCCTGAGTATCCAGATTAGATTTCATAGATCATCTTAATCAAATCCTAGAAAAAAGCCTCATCTTTTTTGTTGTACTGTCCTTCAATTATAGTAGCTTGGCAAAAATCCCAATCCTGGAGGAATCCAAGTATTTATCTTCTCTAAACCTGTAATCATACAGCTGAATATCACAGAAGAAAATCATGCCATTGAAAAGCTGAGCTTATGATAAATTCATAATCACCAAATACAAATAGAAACTCAAAACTGTCAGAAAGTACCTTTCTACTCTTTGAATTCTCTATTTTCAAATTTCTCCACTTCCCACTCTCATCTCACTTTCATTCAGCTACTGACCTTCTCTCAAAAAACACTGAAAAAATATAAATCATCAGAAAGGATTTCTCTGATTTCCCCATTGCCAGCTTTCCAAATTTACTGGAGATAAGTCTCCTATTAAAGACAAGTGCCTCACCTTCTCAATGAGCAAGGTCCTGGAGTTATTTCTCACTTCTCCAACATTATCATCTCCTTTCTCTGCCAGCTTAAAACCATTACAGCTCCCTCTAATCTTTAAAAATAAAACAAAAATCTTCCTTAGCCTTTATCCCCCTCTAACAACTGACCCTGTTTTTCTTATCTCCTTCCTTGAAAAATTTGTTTAATTTTATTCTACATACTCTGTTTCCATTTCCACATTCCCATTCACTCTTTAACCTACTCCACTGAAATCAATGAATTTACAGGCTACCAAAAGGAACAGTTTACAGTCGTTACCCTTCTCCACCTTGTTACTCCATTTAACATTGTTGGCCACTTTCTTGTTCTTGAAACAAGCTCTTCTCTAAGCATTTGTGACACGATTCCCTTGGTACTCTGCCTGCCTCTCTAGCTGTTCCATCTCAGTCACCTCCATGGGCTCCTCCTTTTCTCTTAACCTCCAGTTGTTACAGTTGTTCAAGGCGTGTTTCCAGGTCCTCATCCCAGAAACCTCAGAATCATTCTTGATTACATTCTCTTCCTCATCTCGCATACCACTCTCTTCACCGAATTTATCCCTAGGCCCATTGTATTCGACCATTAAAAAACATTTCAGATCCATCTATGTCTCTATTTCTATGAACCATTTAAGCCTTGATAATCTCTTACCTGAATATAAAAATATCCTCCTCACTTTTTTTGCCCAATCCCTTTCTTGGTATGCTGACTGCCCCAATCCCAGGGTATTATTACAATTAGCCAGAGAACTGTTCTGTATGTAAATAGAGCCATGTCATATCCAGTTTAAAACCGTTTAATACAGCACTTGGAATAATATGGAATCTTCTTAGCACAGACTATTGGGCAATGCATGGTTGGCTGCTGCTCACCTCACCTACCTCTTGTTCTTACTAACTCTACTCATCCACCAGTTTCTTTCTTTTCCTAAAACATGCTCAGTTCTTGTCTTAACCCTTTGTAGGGCTCCTCCCTCTTCTTGGAATCTCCCTGACCCCCGTCTTTCTTCCTTCAGACCTCAGCATACCTACCGTCTTCTCAAGAAGGATTCCCTAAACACCCGATCTAGAGTTGCTCCAACCACCCACTCACTATGCTTTCTCACAGCATCCTATTTTTTGCTTCCTAGCATTTTTTTCACATTGAGCAAAAAAATATATTTATTTGTTTTTTCCTATCTATCGTGTGTCCCCTTTATCCTGTTACATGATACATGAGAACAGGGACCATATCCGCTGTGTATTCAGGACCATGCCCTGAATACTTGGTACTTATCATGATGTCTGACATAGACTAGATGCATAATAAATACATGTGGAATAAATGAATGACTGGACATGTCAAATGGTGGGGTATGTGAACTGTATATACAAAACTAAGCAAAGCTGGTACAGGAAGATAAATTATAATTTTGTTTTGTTAGCACAAAACATTAAGAAATGACTTTTTAACACTTATATGTGTTATTGTTCTTAAATGGAAAAGAAAATGATCAGTAAAATAATCATAGGGAGAAACCTTGAGCAGAAGAGAGAAGGTGAATACAGGAGACCGATTGGAAAAGAAAATTAGATTCAGTGTAACAAATGGGTACTACCATTTCTTTGTGTGCCATGCTAACATGAAGCTCTCTCTTCCATAAACAAAAATACAGAGGTAGACCAAAAGAGAATTTTGGATGCATATGAATCTTTTGTAAACCAGGTTCAAAACATGTAACTTAAGTCTTTGCAACACTCCTAAGCCACTAATTTGTAACGTATTTTTTCATAACAATAATTTTGACATATTAAATATAGAGGAAAAATAGTTTGTAGTAAATATGTTATAGTTTGTTACTTTTATTTTATAACTATATAAAGTTACTAAAAAGAGAATAAGACCTCAATTTTAATGCATAAGACACATGGATAAATGTTATAAAAGAATAAATGAAAAGAGTGAAATGCAAGCAGAGAATGTATTAAAATATTTCATAGTCTCATTTATGATATAATGTATACACTGAAATAATGGAAAAAGTTTTTTACTTGCTAAATTAGTAAGAAATTTATTTTGAAAATTTATAAGAATCCTGTTTACTTAGTGTAGTATAAACAGAGAACTTTCAAACTTCTAGCATTATACACTAGTTTAACATTTTGGAGAAAATATTGATACTATGCTCCTAAAAATATATATGAAGAGATAGTTGAAAATATAATGGAAAAAATCAACAATGTAAAGATTATTAGAGTGTTATTTAACAAAAATTAGACACCAAAGTAAATGCTCACAAACATGGACAAAGCGAAATATATTATGGTACCCCTACGTCATATTACTAGTATTAAACTAAGCTATGTAACAGAATCATGTCAAGCAATTATAAAAATATTAGTAAATGAGGAGAAATATTTTTAAATTAGGAGGAATTTTTTGTAACCTTTCCAAATATATAGTTCTAGGCTATTACATGCACTTTCCAAAAATAGAACATAAAATAAAAAGAAAAATAAATTTTAAAAGGAAAAGAAAGAAAACTGCTGATGCAGAAGCTAAGTAGGTTACAGAAAAATGCCTGTAAGGCAAGTTTATTGTACTACTGAACTAGCACTTTAACCAAATGGCAATGTGTACAAAGAGTCAGAGACAGTTTTTAGCAGGTATGTCCATAATTACAGATTGGCATCTGTAATCGGCATCTGTAATTGGCATAATTACAGACTGGCATCTGTAATTACAGATTTACACATACTAACATACAGATACATCCATACATCAACTAAATATGTCTAATAATTTCATAGATACATTTAAATAACCAAAAAGTCATTTTATAATATCAACCCGATTAGCTAATATGTAATACATCTTGAGCCCTTAACTAATAGATAAAAGATAACCAATAAATATAAATTTATGAGGCCTCCTGTTGAGCTAGACAAATGCCTGCAGGATTATTAAATAGAGATATATATCTCTAAAAATACGAGTTTTTTAGTTAATATTATATAGCCACATTGGTCGGTTAACAACCTTTAAATTAGAAGCAAAATAATAAAGATTCAATCAGTGGCTATATATTTTAAAAATTGATGAATAAAAGTTATTTCTCTCTGATCCAGAAATATGAATACAGAATGCTATTTACTTTTTTTAAAGTATTTGTTTGTATTAAAGATGGAATTTTTAATTCTGAAATCCATCAAATCTTTTCTCAAACTTAAATATTTCTTTCTCTATAACATGCTCATTAATTTTCCGTTATAGTTAGGTCATTAATAAATTAAATGCCAATTAAGTCAAATCCAATAATTAAAAAATTAGTAATGATAACATTATTATCATATGACATTGAACACATCAAATTATTTTCAAGTTATTAACCTTTTTACCGATAGCATATCTAAAACTGCACAGCATTTTAAGCAAAACTAGGAGACATTTGAGCAAAAGCTTCTATGGTCATTCATTTTAGATTGAGTATGATTCAGCTGCCATCTGGATAAAAACACAATATTATCTCTTCAGAAAGAAAATTAACTTTGACATACTGTCTCTGCTCCTCTATGATTTTCTGACTTTTTACTTATCTGAAAACCTACATGTAAGGGACAAAACACTCTCTCACAAATGTAAGCCTGCAGTTTTCAACTAAAAATCCTGCATACACATGTTACCACATAACACCACATTGGAACACAAGTTATTGAGTATGTTGTTGCTACTAATAATCCCTATGGCTTTGTGCCTGTCATTACCTTCAGGCTATCAGAATTTTATGAGCACAAACCAATAATAATGATATTTCCTTTTTGCTTTTTATCCACACCTCATTGCCTTACATTGATTTGCATAAGCAATTTCCACCCTGATAATTGGAGCCAAACATCTTGTTGTAGGTTACCTTATGGAAAAGAGCAGTTAAATACTAATCAAGATAAATCTTTCTTTATTCAACCATATTTTAGATGATGGTGAATTACCCTCACTGCTTGAGCAGGAAGGTGACTCAATTTCTGACAGGGATTTTAGGCTTTGAGTTTATATCAAGCTTAATAATGATCTTTCTTTATAATTTCAATACCCTGGTGTTGACTCATAACAACATGAAGAATGGTACTACTAGGCTCAAATCATTAAAACAATATTGTTTTGTTTGAAAGAAAAAGCCATAGCACAGGTACTAATTTTTTTTAATAGCTACCTAGCCAATCAATTTTATGTGAGGATTTCATAATTACAGCTTTAATTTTTATTTCCAGAAAAATCTGAAAAAAATGTAATTAGGGAGATTAAAACATAAAAACAAAATAAGAAAAATCCAAGTCATGTAAAGATATATATCCAAAAGAATAATTACTTGAATTACTTACTTTAAAAGTAAGACTTATTCTACTTACGTAGAATCAGGATTTGAGCTATTGAACTTAGATTATAAAAACAAGGTTAAAGAAGTAGATTCTAATTTATTGATCAAATGAATATTTTAACTATAAGCATTGTTGTATATGGATGAATAGTAATGTATATGTATGTAAGCACTAAGAACCCTGTAAGTCAAAGATGCAATGCAAGAATTACCAAAAGATGCTGTAAGGTGAGAAATTTTTATTACAGAAGGAATTTAGATAAAATATTTATTTATAGGAGAAGGGAATATTTCAGGGAGATATGTGAAATCACTAAGAACTTCTACAGAGACAGACAAAAAAATGAGGGCAAAATTGCAGTATATTTATACTCCAGGTACCACACAGAAAGGGAAATTCAACAACACTGGGTCCTAAAGTCTGTCCAAGAGGAAGAGAGGATAGAAGTGGGTTTGCACTGCATATATTCCACCCCAATGTTACACTAGTAAGGACTCTACTTACATTTGCAACATTTTAATGACAAAACCAGATTCCAATAGTATAAATATTAAATAGGCATGAAACCCATGAGTGATCTTGCTAGCTTGTCCTTACAAATGACCTAGGAAGGAATTTGGAGATGTGTATACCACAAACAAAAATGAGGTGCTAAAGATAAGAATGATATTATATTTAAAAAGTGTAACTTGAGCTTCTGTGCAAGAGACAGTTTCTGGTTATTGCCAACCTGCCTATTGCATTTCTCACTGACTCTGCTTAAGTTGCAATAGGTCATGTATTATGCAGATGTTTTCTTAGTCATCATTACTCTTTGGAATTATTGCTAGGAGAAAGTCCTGGGTTGGGAGAACACATAATCTTGCTTTCCAGATGTCCTGTATAGAGGTGGTCTTAAATCAAAAGCAATTTAGGCAAACTGCTGCTGTACTTTAACTTATCCCAAGAGGATTGGCCCACCTGGGGAGGTAGGAATGAGGATCCTACAGTTGTGATTATGCAAACCAAAGGCTAAATTCGTAAGTTAATCAAAAAGCAAAACAATTATTCACAGTAGTAAACTCCCGTCTTTTTTCCAGATCCTTATTTTATGAGTAATCACTTTAGAAATTTACAAATTTTATATATTACTGGTACTGATTCATCCTGATATAATCAAATCAACTCATTCAAAGAGAAAATTGGACATTACAGACCACAAGCAACTGGATTGAAGTTATGAGGTTAGTAAAATGTGGTAATTGTTGATTTGATTTCCTTATATCTCTCATCATATGTCCTGGTAAAATTGTTGAAATCAGCTGAGAACATTCTCTGCTCTAGCTAGAGAAGTATCATATGGTCTTAATACAATATTAAGGAAGAGATGAATAAAGGAGTTAATACTTTTTAAATCTCCATATGGTAAAAAAAAAAAACAAGTAAAAATAATGCAAATAATATTTAATCAATAGGACAAAGACATTTATGGATCAAATGTGTCAGACGGTTAGCCATTCACCACCACTTCCCCTGCCATCTACACTCCTGTGCACTGTATGGGTTAGAAGCTTGAATGCTACATTTCCAAGAATCCTTTGCTAGTTAGGTTCAACTTTATGTTCTGCAAAATGAAAAGCACACATAAAAGATATGGATAGCAGTAAAGAAGGAGGAGTTGTCACTGCTCAGATAGCAGAGAGCAGGCATGTGGGCTTTGTCAGAAGGCAGGGGTAAAGTATTACCAGTGGCTTTCAGGTGTACTCTAGGCAGCTGAGAATTTGTGTATTACTTCCCTATGAAACCCAAATGCCTTTATTTCTGGAAGGCTGGCAGTGGCTTTCCTGACCTTTACTTCCATAACCCTGCCAACAGTTTTAGAAAATGACTATATCCAATGTTAATTCCCTTTCTGCTTGAAATATTACTAAGGGTTTTAGTATGTTACAGAATTATGTACCAGAAGTGATTGTAGACCCTCAGAGATGGTTATCTACAATTGTTTGCCTGCCTTGATTAGATTTAAAGAAGGTAATGTCATTAATAATGAGTGATAGGATCATGATAGTTAATCATTTTCAGAGCCAAAACAGCTTCTTAAATGATCATCGATAGTTTCCTAAACTGAAGAATAAGCACTGGGAAAACAAATGACTGTTTCAATAGAACATTATAACAGAATAGAGAATTACAAAGTCTTTGAGAGGCTTGGCTATTTCTGCCTGGACTGGAGAGATTACAAAAACCAAAACAACAACCTTAGTGCTTTAAATTCTCAGCTGAAGGTTTGGCAGGGAACCAGAGATCTATGACTATGTGAAAAGAATCATGTATCTCTTACAGGCTTTGAATCAATGTATCCAAAAAGAAAACTATGATTTAAAATTCTGAGTGGCAAAATTACAACTCAAGTAAATTTCATGGATTTATTAGATCTTTTATGTGAGAGTTAGGGTATTGACAAGGAAAGTGTAGGATGAAGAATCGGAATGCAGGACTTGAAGGTCTAAATTTCACTGAGCCACCGTGGTAGCTTTTCTTGTCTCTGAAAAAGTAAATTCCCCTTGTTTGAGTTCCCTGTAACGTCACTCATCAAGGAGGATGTTGGCTCTTCTCAAAACCAACTCCAATATACCTAAATGCAAAACCAATAAATAGAATTGGTTTCACCAGATTTCAAGAGTTCAAGTAGAAATTCCAACATTAGAAGATGGAATTTACACTGAAAATCACCAAGAAATTTCAACAGTTCTTAGCATATAACATCTAAAACCACTGTAGCTTAATCATAAAATTATAAAGTATCCAGAGCCAATTATGAAAGTGAACAAGTAAATAAAAGCCAAGGAAATAGAAGTTGTTTCCTTATACTAGCAAAATAAAACTATTACCAGCAAAAACTCCCTGTTACAAAAATGCTGATCTGGTTTGACTACAGTTATAGTTCTATATGTATTGATAGTCATATAATACAGTCTAAATATTCAAATGATTAAAGATTCAAAAAAAGGGAGTCACTCACTCTTGCATATCTAGTTTACAAATGTGTCCATCAAATTAAAACAGCTGTCCCAAATTAAATATATCAAACCCAAATTGTCTAACTAGTAAACTGCATTAAAGTAATCCTAGATTTAGAGAATATAAAAGATAAAAGGAATCTTACAGTATTTAGTTCAACTCTTAAACATTTCATAACTGTAATGTCAGAGGTCAAGAGAGGTCTAGTGACTTGCAGAAAACCGCTATTAACTGGAGATAGAAATGAGAATTATTTCTCCTTATTTATTCTATTGCCTCATGTTTCTCAAAATATGCCTGCTATCATTTTGGGAAATGGATTACATAGAACAGTAGACATGTAGAATTTGCAAAAATGTAAACATTTTTGCATTTAAAAAATATTTATTAGTGACACATAATCTAACCACAGAAATGTTCAAGCTCAATTCAGTCCAGTTCCACTTTCAATTAAAACATTAAAATGGAAGCTAATTTGCTGGTGGTATCACCAACAAATCACCAACAAAAGCTGTGATTGTTCAGTAAGAAATTGTTCTCCTAAACTTTCTCATAGCTGAACCAATGGGTAATATGACTATAGAAACAAAATTTTTCTCAGAAAGCCTCTAGAGTCTCTTCCTGCTGAAAAATATATGTTTAAATTGAAATTTAAAATATATTCCCATACAAAACATTACAAAAAATTGAAAATGTAGTTGAATCTACACCGATGCTTTATAAGTTAAATATGAGTATGTGAACTAACCCAGAAACCTACTACCTTTCTATATTACATATACATATACACACACACATATACATGTATGTATTTTTAAAAAGTTTACCTTGTTTCCAAAAGACCTTAAGGTGGGTCGTAAGGATACATAAATTGCAAGAGAACACAAATTTCAGGTAGATAATAAATCAAGAAGAAAGAGCATTAAGACATTGTTCCTATGTGGAACATGAAGTTTAAGGTCTGAGTCCAGAAAAAAAGAAGAAAGGAAGAAAAGAGAGCAAGAGAGAAAAAGAGAAAAAAGGAGAAAAAAAGGGGGGAGAATAAAAACATATATGAAAAACACACTATCTGCAATTTGGAATTGCAAGTAGTAAACTTTCATTTGTCAACATGGAAATAACCATGGTTAATGTAAAAACAATTCATAGGTTTTCCAGCAGAGATAAGTGCTGACAGCCTAGATTAGCTCTTTCAACAACTTGTAAACCAAGACTCCCCAGGGCCTTCTGGATGGGAAGCACATTAATATCAACTCTGTGACCACTCAGCACCATGACATCAAGTGTCTATTCAGGAGGTCAACTCCAAAATGTATCCCATACATCTTCATGCACAAGAGATGATAATTTATCACCTAGATGTAGGGATCTACTGTAAACTAATCCAAACTGCTGATGATACACTAAATCAGTTTGAGTGATGAGTATAAATAAAGCTGCAAGCGAAGTACTGAAGGATACAGATCTATCTGATCAATGAGATGTCACCAGGCAAATGAAATGCAGTGTTGACAAACATAGAGTACCTCAGTTGAAAATTAACCATATCAAGTATCAGAGCATAAAGGCACACATTAATACAAGCTTGGAATGAAAGTTTAATATGATATGAGTCAGAGGCTATATTCTAACTGTTTCATATAAAACTGAGCAGAGTGGGTCAGTGGAAAAGAATGTATTAAAAATTGATATATTTTGCACACCATAGAAAGTATGACAGGATGAACAAAAACGTTCATAATAATAATAATAATAATAATAATAATAATAATCCTTTCCAAATAATAATCCTTTCCAAATAATATAACTGTAGTTATTCAATCTGCTGAGCAAATCCATACACACAGATGAAGAAAAACAATAAGAATTTTATACAGAAAATGATTTCACATCAACTTGCTATGAAGAAATCAAATTCAATTTATGTTGCCCTTATGAACAGTTAGATATTTTCTGAAACTGTCATGCTACAACTTCAATGGGGAAAAACAAAGGAATGGGGATAAAGAAGGACATTCCTCCAGATAGCTGATATTCATGAAGGATACTCCTTGAGAAAAAAAGATTTTCCCAACTATGTGATCAGAATAGAGCTGTTAACATACAGCAAATAGATTCAATGGATTCAGCTATTCTGAAGGTGTCCCTAATGGAAAGAGCTGATTAAAGTAAATTTCAAACCCTGCTGGAACAAATCTGTAAAAATATTTTCTGAGGGAAATTATTCTTCAAAAAATTTATTTTTATATATAGTTTCTGTTGTGTTAAGTATAGAGAGAGAGTTTGTCATAACATAGTTAACTCTTGCCTTGTATTTTATCTTTCAATTTATTTGGGGGTACAGATAGAATTATACTACTAAAATATGACCTGGACCCAGATGTAGTTTATTTAAATTTCAAAATGAAAAGCTTACTAAGAACAGATAAGATTGATTGCTCTCTCTGTCTTAGCATAATTGTGTTTCAGGTGAACATCAATTTACTTTAAAGGACACTTCTAAGTAGCAGAATGCATCATAAATAATTCATCAATCACAGCTACTAGGAACATGATTTGCTCCAGCAGATTCAATGGAATAAAAGTTTTTTCAGTATACTTGTGTCTGCTTTAAGAAGTTTAATAATCTTCCTTTTCTAAGAATTCATTCTTAGATTCTATACTTCATACTCTAAACACATTATGATAAAAACTGTATCTTTTTCTTCCTTTTTTAAGAAAAACATATTTTCTAATTAAAATAAAAACAATTAAAAACCTTTGGAACAAATAATCTATGTATATCAACAGCAAAATAACAAAAACCTAAAAGGCGCATATTTGAAAAATAGCCTTAAGATTTCTCAAATACATAATTCGAATAACACTAACAAAATTTGTTTCACCTTATTTGAATCTTTAAATGGAAGAAAAAGAAGGCAGTCTTTCTGGAAGTCTTTTATAGAACATTTAGAATCTGGCATATTTTAAAATTACTTCAATTTAAAAATGCAAATCAAACAGATTCTAAATTGTTCAACAGTTCAAGTTTTGTCAGTTGATATCGTGAGTATCCTATCTAGAATTTTCATTTGTCATATAGAAAGACATTGCTTAACTTACACATCTTAAAGTTTTCCACCAAGTTCAGCAATTTTGTATTAGCCATTTCCTAAGCTGTGAAATATATTGACAAGGAAAAATGTAAAAGAAAATAAAAAGCATTTTACTTACTTGCAAACCCCTCTGGAAAACTGAATGGCCCATAAAATTAGCCAGCATTCTTATTAAAGCAGCACCCTATAGGAAAGAATAATAAAAAGAACAGAATTTCAACAAAGTATCATGATTGTAAAGTTGTTTTACTCAAATCTAGTCTACTTCATTCATGCTATTCTATTTTCAAAAATAATTAAGAAACAGCAGTATCATGAAAACAACATCCAACTTAGTGATAACAATTTCATTTTTTTGGTCTTGTGAATTTTAAAGTTTTGTGTAAAACCTACAACCACAAAATGGAAGTCCTCTAGAAAGAATATCTCAGGGCAATGATAAGCTGTAATTCAGGAGTACTCAATATTTTATTGAACACTATATATGACAAATTTAATAAAACATGATTCTTTTACTTACAATCTCATAATTTGCTCAGGGAAGGATACCCATGTTAATAAATAATCATATTAAAATATAACTTTGAAGTAAAATAGGTACTGAATGTACTCCTTAACCAAGAAAAGTTTAGTTGTGGAAGTAGAGAGTAGAGTACCAAGAAGTCAGACTGTCTGGGTTCAAATCTTAAGTCTGCTACTTACTCACCATGTTTACTCAGTAAGAATATTTCAGCTCTCTGCTCCTTACTTTTCTCCTTGTAAAGTGTAGTTAATAGTAGTTATATTTAATATGGCTGTTCTAAAGCTTAAATAACTCAATACATGTAAAGCAGTTTGAACTAGGTCTGAAAAATAGTAAGCCATATAGGAGTGTTAGCTACCAGTATTATTTCAAATTGTCTAATCATTTTCATTTCCTATTTCTTTTTGAGGTTGTATTTAGCTGCATACATCCATATGCAAGTAAAACATATGAGATCAATATAAATAACTTGAGAAATAGAAGAAAATACTAATTTGAAAGAGTCTCTCTCATCTTGAGAACCATTATTATAATATGGCAGAACAACATGAATGCAAAAGGTAGGTACGTAATCAATATGAAACATTCCAAGGAATTACAATTAAGTATGGATGATAACAAATCTTCATGTAAAATATAAATAAGCCTTCAAGAAGACACTTGACCAAATTGAATTGGTATGGAGCAGTGGATTGTAAGCAATGAATGTTTAAATACAAATGGTAGCCTGGATTCGGGGTTACAAATTGCTTTATGACTACACATCCCATTTCATACTCAGTACAAATGTACAACTGCAATAATTCATTTCTTGCAAGATGTCTCTTTTTACAAGAAAATCGTAAGAATCACATATAGAATCATTCAGCCAGGGACTGGACTGCTGTCCAGTCCAGCAACACAACAATGAATTTCCACAGTTTGTTACTAGAATGATTTGTTAGAATTCTGGGACTTGAATGTAGTGCAATACTCAGACTATGAATCACCATTAAAGATGTGTATCAAAAAATTTCAACCACCACCAAAATTGCTCCCAAGTCAGTATTTTATTCTCATCTCAACAAATGATAGGCTGAAATATAATAGTTTTATGCCTTTTCTGATTTTTTTTCTTCTCACACCTTCCATTCATTGCTCTTTCTTTAGCTTCTTCCTCTTTATCTTCTGCACATTTGTATATGACCATGAAACATAAGCATTTATGATTCAATCTGAGGACTAGATTAGAATTCCCTTTAGAACATATCAGCTCTGTTCCTTGAATTGCCTTGACAAGCTCTCCTCCTATATATTTCCCAGTATAATCGACCCATCCCGAGGGTGGAAACTGTCCATTTTTCAGCAAACCTGACCATTGCCAACTGGGAATTGAGACTTAGTATCTAAAGCAGTCAACTCAAACTTTCCTTCAGCACTGAATAGCCATCTTCAGATGATTTAGGTGTTTCCCCCCAGGTAATGATGACTTGGTCTCTTGTCAGTTTATAAAAACTATTAATCTAGCATGGTCTAATGACACAAGAATGCTTTCTGATCATAAAGAATGTACCAATTTTCCTGTCTGAATTAAGCTGGAGAGAGTGGTAACAGGAAGGAAAAACTAGAAGTACAATCAGTATTCAAAAGTTATAGAATATCACTTAGCTCCTGATTATATTATATTGTATAACTCAATTAAGTTTTAGAAAATATGACTATGTTACCCATCTGAACATTTTAATAGTCTCTGGAGTGGCATGCACTCTTCTATGTTTAACTAGCCTTTTCTTTCCAAAGCTAAAATTCAAAAATCCTTATTTTATAGAACTTCATAGACAGATGGGCTCTCCAACTGTCATGGTTTAGCCAACATATACTAAGCACATACTATGTATGGATTATAACAAAGATCACAACCCCTAACACAGGCAGAGCTCATTATAAACTTTTTTTAAGAAAACTCAGAATCCTTTTTCATCATGCCTTTAAAACATTTGTTTATCAAGCAAACTTTGTTTACAATATTGTAACTTACATTACCTTGTGATTCAAAACTCCAGCCCCAGTCAAACAAACTGGACATTTAGGAAGCCCGAGTAGCTTTATGAAAAGTAGACATACTATTTCTGCAAGATTTAATAATTTTTGAGACTTGCTCTAGAAAACTCATCACTGTTTGCTAAACTAACATTCAAGGATATATTAGGATATCTACTTGATTTTTCTAAAGTTTCATAGAGAATATTCCACAAAAGTATGCTTATAAACCCATTCATCATTTAGCAATTTTTATATCTGGAATATCTTTTTAATGTAAGTTCCCACCTAAATTTTCTTTTATTTTACATTGTAGCCATTTGCATGCACATCAGTCTCAGAGGTATTAAACATGCCCAGAGAAAAAACTGTGTCCTCATGACTTGGTACCACCCTCTTCCTATGTCTGGCTCAGAGGAGGTGCTCCCTTAATGTAAGACATGGATAACAGAGAAAGAGAAAATTCTGCATGCATAGCAATTACTTTGTGTTCTTGTAGAGGAGCTATTCAGCCAGGATATACAGTCTATTGCCTCACTGGTATACTTCAGTGATAAATCCTCACTTTTGGAGAGGGAGATCTTCTCAACTAATTTCTTTCTTTAGTGCATGCTTATTGAATAAGGTGGTATGTTTGGTATCCTAAATGACACAAGTCTCTGTCTTTGAGGATTTCAAAATCTCATAAGTGAGATGAGATGCAAAGCAAAATAAAATGAATGACAAGAGAAAGTATTCTACTGTTTTCAGAAGAGGGAGAGGTTATATCTGGAGGGACAAAGGATAACGAGGGTCTAAAGAAGTGTTATTTGTGTTGAACCTTGGAGGATGGATAAGGGTTCCATGAGTTAAGATAAACAAAAGGCATTTGCATGTTATGACAGGAATAGACTTTATGTGGTCAAATAGGCGTGAAAGTGGAAATCACAAGTAGGGAAGTTTATATGGAAAGACAGTAAATAAAACCAGAAAATGGAAGATTAGATGGAAAATAAGATTGAGACAGTTTTTAGAGGACTTTGAATACCAGGGATAAGGAATTTGGAAAATTGGTTTTCAAAAAAGTCGGGACTTAACTGTGATACTCCAAGGAAGAAGTAAAGTAACCAGAAACAAATGATAACAATGATAAAAATCAGAGATAGGTTTAAGAAATGGAAAGATAAGTTTGTATTTTAAAGCTAGAGTGGATGATGACATTAGCAGATATACAGAATTTAGAAGAAAGTGCTGGTGAGGTGAATATAATAACATCTGTTTGTAAATGTGCTGTTTGAGGAACAGGTATAGAACCCAAGGAACAGAGGGCAAGTTCAACCACAGGAATAAAATTGAGTGGAAAGTTACGATTGAATAGATAAATTGGGAATTAGAGTGGGAGAGTCTGCCAAGAGAAAAGTTCTAAGGCTTTAGTAAGAAAAATAGAAAACAGAATCGTATAATTGTTTTCTATTTGTTTATTCTGTTTTATGACTTGCACTTCAGTGCTTGTAACAGGCGCTCAACAAATATCCATTGAAATCAACGAAGAAATGACATTAAGAGAAAAAAATGACATATTGTGATAAAAAACAGAAGGCAAACTGGGTATAAGCAGTGTCATAGAAGACATGTTTTAAGAATTAGTGCTTCAGATTTCAAGGAAAATAATAGCTAAGAGAAGGCCATAGTAGGCCATATTTAAGAGAGAGATATTTAAATAGACTTGTGGGTGTGAAAGCCAAGTGAAAACAGAAGGAAGAAAAGAGAAAGCTAGAAGCAAATTCACATGAAAGGTTTGTTTGTGATTTTCTTTGGTAGAAATGGGAGAAATTTTTTTCTGCAAAGCAAAAGATGACCCAGTGGAGATAGAAACTGAAGACACAGTCAATCAAGAAATCATTATTGAAGCAAGATTCCAGGAAAGCTAATAAGAATTTAGATTAATCTTGGGAAAGAATAACAACAATCTACTCTGAGACAGGACTGAGGCAGAAAAGGGAAATAAGAAATAAGAAAAGATACATAAGAGATGTTGAAGTGTAAAGCACAGAGGTTAAGAAAGTACATTGCACAAAATAGATTGTAATCTCCATCAAGGTGGGGAATTGGTCTGTCACCATTATACGCTCATTGCCAAAAACTGTTCCTGGCACATAGCAGGCTCTCAAAAAATATTGAACAAGTGATGGACCATCACTTTCCAATAATATAGGAGATGTGGTCTGAAGATAACATGAGTTGGAAAGACTGGAAGTAGGTTTGAAGTAACCCATTGAAAACGTAATTAGGAGTTTAAGACGTGGAAAGGTGTAGAAAAGTTGTAAGTTGTACTAGTCCGTTCTCACACTGCTATAAAGAACTACCCAAGACTTGGAGATTCATAAAGGAAAGAGGTTTAGTTGACTCACAGTTCCACATGGCTGGGGAAGCCTCAGGAAACTTACCATCATGGTGGAAGGCAAAGGGAAAGCAAGCACCTTCTTGTGAGTGTGAGCACGCAGGAAAAACTACCACTTATGAAACCATCAGATCTCATGTGAATTCGATTACTATCATGAGTAACAGTATGGGGGAAACCGCCCCCATAATCCAATCAGTTCCCTTCCTTGACATGTGGGGATTACAGGTCCCCTCCCTTGACAAGTGGGGATGACAATTCGATATGAGATTTGGGTGGGGAAACAGGGCCAAACCACACCATAAGTCCTAGCTGAAGTCATCAATAATGTATCTGTCATTCATTAACTATTTGTACTACATGCTAAGGCCATAATATCAAAAGGAAAATATTACTATCTTTATTTATCAGGTCAGAAAATTGAGGCATAAAGTTTACACACCTTGTAGAAATTGACATGGGTAGTAAACAATGGAGCCAGAATTAGAAACCCACTTATACCCACCTCCAAAATCAATAATTTAAACGAATTTAGATGACCTCTTGTGATCCCAATTCAAAATATTTACATGACTGTCTCTAGAAACATGGGGTATAGCAAGAACTTAGAAAAATAAAGGAAATTCTTAGAGTTACTGAGAGTTTGGAATCAGTGAGATGCTCACAGAAGAGGAAGAAGGAAAACCTAATTCAATGGGACATAGTTGAAATGCCTGACCCATATTCCCAGGATTAGGGATAAAATAGAAGACAGATATGAACTTGCAGAATAGGACATGTTTATGGTCTAGGAGACATAAAGCTTCTTTATGGCAGGTTCAGTAAGAACAAAAGGCTAGCAAAATTGAAAATAGTGATATTTTTATTACTGTATGTGGATGTGGCAGCTGTGAAAATGCACTGCTCAGATTTCCCACTGCTGCCCCTCTGCATTTACCATCACAAAGGTCACTCTTTCCTCAGTTTACTCCTAGCCAATCACTGAGCAGGACAGTGTAACAACTGCAGACCTGTTCTAGTGAGACAGGAGACTCCACCAATGGATAACTCTAACTAGACGACTTGTCACTGGTGTGGATGAATGTGTTTTTGCAATTGAGCTAAAGTCTGAAACTATCAACCTGACGCCTCTTCCTTTCCTCTCTCCTTGCAAAGGCTGTCAATTGTAATGTGGTCTGAAGGCAGGTCCCCCTACCTTCTCTGGCTCCTTTAACAAATAAATCTTTTGCATATAATGTTTTCTCCTTCTTAGAAAATCTGGACTAACCTAGTAGCTCCATTTTTAGTGCAGAAGTCCACACAAGTGTAAATTAATGATAGGTCCCTAAAATAAGTTGGTAATGAGAATACTCTAGTTAACAAGTAGCACATCCATCAAAACAAAATAATCTTTTCCTTCTTAGTCCTTTCAGGAAATCTTTGGCTAGTATATAGTCTACACTACAAATGTCTTAGCTTAATGGTTTGCTCTCCTCCAGCACAAGAGAAGTTAAGAAATAATGTATCATTACTTTCCGTTGACATACAGGAGAGACTGAGGTGAAGGGATTAGGTGCTTTGTCCAAGTTACTTGCTTCCATTCACTCAGTTGTTGAGTTCTTTGATTAGCAAAAGAATTATGAAGTAAGAATTTCTTTTTACTTTTTGAGTTACTGAAAGGATTAGTCTATTGATTCAAAATCAAAGTACTTTTAAAATGTAAATTTGTAAATGATGTTTCTGCACTAATTCTGGACATATGTGGAAATAAAACAATGTTCTAACAAGATTTGTTCCTGAAGCATGTCTTTTGGTATGGAATAAAAGCATACCTTAAATCCTCCATGGTTTTTTGAAAAACATGTTTTCTTCGCTGTTTTTTTTTTCCATAATAATATGATAGCTATATTTAGCATCTGAAGAACAGAAAAAGAAATACCTAATCCTGAATATCCCTTACTCACAAGTTGATTACAAAAAAGAAAGGCAGAAAGAGAGGATAGAACAAGGGAAAAAAGAGAATGAAAGGGGAAAGAAAATTAATTCCATACAAGAAAGCAGAATTAATGCCCCATTGCTTCAGTTACCCATGCTTGGAGCCTTGGAGTCCTCTATGATTTATTACTTCCTGAGGCCAAGCCTCTACCTCTGCATAGCTGAATTATTTCACTGTCTCCTAGAGACAACCCCAGATGGGTTCTCACCCTCAGGAATCCATCCTATGGGCCACATCAGACTAATTTTAATAATTATTTTAGAAGCATAATGTCTGCTAAGAGTCCTGGTTCTGTCATGTACTTAGGCATGTGAGATGATCTAAGTATCTACAATTAGAACATAACAATAAAAATGATGATGACAACTATATTACTACCTTTAATAATAAGAACACCTATTTCAAAATTTTTCTGAGAATTCATTTAAATTATTATAAAGCACTAGATACTCAGTGTTTAGCATATAATAAGGTTTAAAAAGTATATAGGTATTGATATCATCTTCATCATCACTATCATCATTTTTATGTTAGTCCCCTGCCCCCCAAATCTCTACTTTAAAAAAAAGTCCTGTGGTAGTAATAAAGGCCATACATAATGAGATTCACCACTACTTACCAATGCTTTTTTCCATGTGACCAGATAATCAGCTTCTACACTGGTTAAGCTCTTCTTCCCATTATCCCATGAGCATTCCTTACACACTTATGTTTTAATCATGCTTATTTATATCAGTTGCAATGTTAATCCTTTGTGATCCTATATTCTGAGCTCTATACATTATTAAAAGCACAGGAAAAGCCCATACCATAGTATAGTCCACACAGCTATACTGCCACCATTAATAATAATGATAATGATAATAATATTTCCATCAAAATTTTTCTTAGAATTAATTTAAATTATTCATATAAAGTACTTGGTACAGTGTTTGGTATATAATAAACTTCAAAAATGTATGTAGGTATTGTTATCTTCATCATCATCAATATCATCTTTTTATGCTAGCTCCCTGCCCCCCAAAATTGAGTACACAGTAGTCAATCTCCCCTGTCAAGAAATTCAGCATATATCTTTCACTGGGACCGTACATTCTTTGAGCATTCTCAGGCAATGGCATTCAAACTGGGTGGTCTATACTCAAGATAATAGGAGACCAAAAAGGTATTCAAGGAGGACCATAGATACCAGCAACAAGAAAACAAAGATAAGAAACTTTCCACAACTATGTTAGTTCTCAATGTTTTTCTCTCCTCCACAGTCATAAATTATTTAAGTCTGAACTAAGCAATTTGTCAAATTATTTTAAATCACTAGCTAATTGTTTCACATGACTTTGTCTCCTTCTCACAACTACATGTAGGTCATTTAACTACATTAATCTCCTTTAACTAGATTATTTAAACTAACCGTTGGCATATCTGTTAGTTGTTGATGATATAACTTTTCCATTGCAAATGAAACATGATCCTGGCTAAAAGAAGTATCCACCAACTCCTTCCTAGTTTCAAATCAGCAATCCAGACTATGAGATTGCAGCCTATACCCAGGTACTCATCAATCTCCTCTGCCATGAAATTCAGCATATATCTTTCACTGAGGCCGTATGTTTTTTCAGTATTCTCAGGTAATGGCATTCAAACAGGGTAGTCTATATTCAAGATAATATGAGACCAAAAAGTATTCAAAGAGGATCACAGATATCAGAGACAAAAAAACAAAAACTTTCAACAGTGTAGGAAATAGCATTTGCATGAAAGCATTCAACTCAAGAAATTTGAAGCATAACAATACTGTCCCATTAAATGAATGTACATAGAAGGATAAAACATAAAAGCAAAAAAAAAAAAAAACAAATAGAAAACAAAGAAATGGTTGAGAAGATGAAAAATAAAACATAAAGAGTCCATGAAAAAACTAATAAAATAGCAAAGCTCCGAGAAAGAAAGTAATAGAGGTAAAAAAGAAGAAAAGGAGAATAAAATAATGCAAATACTAAAAATGGGCACATAGCTACAGAAAAAAGTTTTTAAAACTAAAATAAGAATATTCTAGAAACATATACTAATAAATATGAAAACTCAGATTAGAAGAAATAATTTTCAGCTGGGCATGGTGGCTCACGCCTGTAATCCCAGCACTTTGGGAGTCCAGGGTGGGCAGATCACAAGGTCAGGAAATCGAGAACATCTTGGCCAACATGGTGAAACCCCATCTCTACTAAAAATACAAAAATTAGCTGGGTGTGGTGGTGCACACCTGTAGTTCCAGCTACTCTGGAGGCTGAGGCAGGAGAATAGCTTGAACCTGGGAGACCGAGCTTGCAGTGAGCTGAGATCACGCCACTGCGTTCCAGCCTGGGTGACAAGAGCAAAACTCCATCTCAAACAAAAAAAAAAAGAATTTTCTCTAAAATCATAATGTCACTAAAGAAGAAGTAATGGTTTAAAAATAAGAAATACACCAAAAACAAACAACAACAAACACATATACCAATCCAGGACAGTTTTACAGGCAAATAAACTTTTAAGGAAACACTGTCACATATTACCCTTGTTTTAGATAAAGTACTATAAAGGAATTGAAAATGAGTACAAGCTTTTCAACAATTTCTATGATGCTGTGTAACTGATATGCAAACTGGACAATGTAAAATATAGTCCAATATCCTTCATATGATCATGTATGCAAATATATACATAATTGATGGGATAAATACCACATATATAATATAGACTAATATAAAGACAAGTTAATATATATTATATGTGATAATACAATAAATAATATAATCTATATATAATATAGATTCTATGAAGAGAGAGAAAATATTTAAGTAGAATTCATTCCAGAAATTTAATAATTGTTTAATAGCAAACATATTATAATTAATTGCATTAATAGTGGAGACAAATTGTTTAATCATCTCAAATGTAGGAAAACCATTTAATATTACTTAGCATTCATTCATTCTTATTCAAAATAATAAGATATCTTAATAAACTAGGAAAAGAAGGGGACCATTAACAATAAAGGCAATCTTTAAAAAATACACTCAATAGTGAAACATGAGATGCATTCTTCTTAAAGTTGAAAATAAGAATTCACTCTACTAATATTTCTATTCAAAAGTATAATAAAATGAACGAATGAAATTTAAAAAATAAAGCAGTAAATTATCATAATTCAAAGATGATGTGAAAGTTCTCACAGAAATCTAAAAGAATATATAGAAGCAATATATAAAATCAATAAAAGAGTATAGCAAAGAGATTATTTATTCATTAAGTTAATCTCTGACATGAGATTAATGAATAAAATAAAAAGAATATGTGTTACTAAAATTGAATTTAAGGAATTAATTTATTGAGTCTTATTCTCAAAAGGAAAAGTACAAACAAATATTATAAAACAAAACAAGAAAAATTTCAAAATTGTACAGAGTTTTCATGGAGAAAATTATAGAACTTAACCAAACACACAAGGATGTAAAAATGAAGAACTATATTCTTTAGAAAGCTAGAAAAAGTTACTGCAAAAATGTCAAATATCCTAAAATTAACCTGCAAACTTCTCAAAATAATTTCTTTTTCACAGAAATTGTCTTGATCTGAAAATTCACATGGATTAGCAAAGAGTAAACAACAGCAATTTTGAAATAGAAAAAGATGGTGAATCATCTCTTTCAATAACAAAACTATAAAGTTGTAGTGGTTAGCCCTATGACAGTAATGTTGGAGCAGAAATAAACATATAAACTAGGGACCAGATCAAGGGACTGCAGATATACCAATACTGATATCTGTGATAGCTGACAGAGATGGTATGTGATACCAGCAGAATAAGAGCAGGGAATTCAGTAAATCACACTAGAATGATTTGTTACCTAAACTAAAATTAAATTACATTGGACAGCACAACATCAACGAAGAAATATCACCAAAAAATACCCAAATGGATGATTACAGAACTCAATATACAATGCAAAACTTTAAAAATATTAGGAGAAAATGAAAAAAAGCACATCTTTATGAATTTGGGATAAAGGAGGATACTTAAGCAAAACAAAACAAAAAGTATGAAGTATAAAGGAGAAAATGTACAGACTACATCTGAACTTTAAAATCTATATGATAAAAGACATCATAAATTCACAGACAAGCTGCAGTACTATTAGCAATGAAAGATTAGTATCCAGAATGCAAACAAAAAGCAACTCTCATTAATTAATTATTAAAATGAATAGGAAAACAGATTAAAAAACAAAGACCCCATTGGAAAATGGGCAATGGATATAAATAGAAAATTCAAAAAGTAAGCAACCCAAACGGCAATAAATACATGAAAAACATTTAATCTCATTAACAAACAAATAAGTATAAATTAAAACAATAAGAAAGCATTTCCTAGCCACTGACCAGACAAAATTTTGAGAATTTAGCAATAATAAGCACAGATGAGGATGTGAGAAAACAGGATGTTCTCAAACTCTCTGGTGGGAGTGTGTACATAGGTACAAATGCTTTGGGGAAGAAAATGTTATGCTAAAATAAATGTTAAGATTAGTTTATTTGTGCATTTAACAAACAATTATTGAGTGCCTGCTGTGTAAGGCACTTTGATAGGGTCTGAAAATGATGCAGAGAACAAACCAAATAAAGCTTTCATGCAGTTTATATTCTAGACAAAAGAGGCAGTTAGTAAACAAAGAAACAACAATAATATCAAATACCCATTATTGCTTTGAAAATAAATAAAGCAGGGTTAGGGGATAGAGTGTGCTGGAGAATAGGCTCTCATATGTTAGGTAAGATAATCAGGAAAGATTTCTTTAATAAATTGACATGGAGCAGAGAAAGGAATCAAATGAAGAAGCAAGCCATGTTGATGACTGAGGAAGAACATTCCAGGCAGAGAGAACAAGCATAACCGGATTTTGAAATCTAGAAGTCTGGAGAGAAAGTAGGGCTAGAAGTCCCAGGCTCCCACAGAGAGCAAGAATAGATGAAGAAGACAAAAAAAGAAAAAAAAAAACCTGAAGAATAGGTCCTGGGAGTTCCAGTATTTAGAGGTTGAGAAAAGTAATTAAGTTCCTCAAAGAGATGAAAAAGAAATGGCCAATGAGCTGGTTAAAGTTAAAAAAAAAAAAAAAAAAAAAAAGCTTCTAGGAAACAAAATGAAGAAAGTGTTTCAAACGTAAAATGATCATTACAAAGTGTGCTTAAGAAAGCAAGTCAGCTACCATGCAGACTGGATTTTGCAACATGGAATTAATTTTTGAGTTGACAAGAAAAGTTTGAGTAAATGATAAGAATGAAAGCTTAATTGGGGGATTTTAAAAGAAAAAGAGAAGAGAGAAATCAGGCTTTTGCTCTAAGAGTGTAAAGATATAAAAATAGTCTGGGTGGAGTAAGTCAAGGGAATTTTTACCAGGATCAAAATATTTTAACATTCTACAGAGGGAAGAATAATTGAGTAGAGAAGGAAAAATGGATGTTTCAAAAGACAAGAAACAGCTCAACGTGACCAACATCCTAGAGTAGACAAGAGGATGGAGTCCGGTACAGAGTGGAGGCATTGGCCTATATCATAGTACAGACCTTCATTCACTGTGACAAATAGCAAGGGAAGCAGAGTATACAGGAATTGATAGGTGAGATGCACAGGGTTGGAGGCGTAAGAACATTGATTTGTTTATTGCTTCTAATATTTTAGTGAAATAAAAGCAGAGTAATCAGATGAGAGTGAGGAGGGATAACAGAATGTGAACACTAAGAAAAAAGAAGTAGGCATTAGGTGTGTGGAAGAATGATAAATTGAGTTGGGAAATGCGGATGCATGTACCTCCCAACCCCACAATTTCTCTACCTGGATACACAGAACGACCAACACTCACATATGAACACAAGGACACATGTAGAAAGAGGTCATTTGCAACACTGTTTCTAATTTCTAATTCTAATTTCAGTAGTGTATAATAGACAAAAACTTCAAACAAACGTCAGCCTGTGAATAGGGGGATGGATTTATAAACTGTGCTTTTTACATATTGTATAGCAGCAAAGATAAATAAAATAGAGGTCTGAGTATTAAAATATGAATAAGAGTTATGTCTCTTTAATGATTACCTCTGGGAATAGAGGGAGGGACAGGGGGTTAAGAAAGGGATTAGAGGACTTCAATGTTTTATTCTTTAAAACAAGTCATATGTAAATACATCAAACAAAATAATAATAACTGCTGACTTTGGGTCTTGAGTATATGTATATCTGGCAATATCCTCTGTATGTTTAAAAATTTCTCGGTTGAGATTTTTATTTAAAAATAACCAACAGGAGTCTCTGGGAAAATTGCTAACCTGCAACACCTTATAATTAATCTCATTTAGTTCAGTCATATTTTATATAAATTTCTTACTCTTCTTGGCTTAAGCACCATGATCTATCTCCAGAGCCTTCTAAGAGTATTTTAGTCCTATAGTTTAATTTTTTGGTTTTTATTTAAAATAAAATTATCTGACAGAGGAAAAATGAAATAAGTTAAATTTAGTGAGACACTCGAGGTAACTTTTAAACAATGAAGATCTAATGAATAATAATTTTATTTTAAGAATAAAATTATTAGTGAATATATTATAATCATCGTTAAAGTATAAAGGTATTAGCAAAGCAATGGTTTAAAAGTGCTAAAAATCTTTATTTTGTTTATTTCTGAATCCAATGGAAGACTAAAATGCCCCAAACTAATAACAGCATTGAATGAGTAAAACTAATTTAATGTTGTTTTAAGAAGGGCCTGTGCAGTGGCTCACACCTGTAATCCCAGCACTTTGGGAGGCAGAGGCGGGGGGTCACGAGATCAGGAGTTCGAGACCAGCCTGAACAACATGGTGAAACCCCGTCTCCACTAAAAATACAAAAATTAGCCAGGCTTGGTGGTACACTCCTATAATCCTAGCTACTCAGGAGGATGAGGCAGGAGAATTACTTGAACCCGGCAGGTGGAGGTTGCAGTGAGCTGAGGACAAAGCGAGACTCCGTCTCAAAAAAAAAAGAAGCTCAGAAAACACTATTTGTTTGTAAAAAATCTAAATATTTTTCAGTTCTAAATTCAGTTCAGAACTTGTGAGTAACAGGCTGTAGAATAACTACACGAAGACAACATCATTTGTGTTTTTAATATCAGGCAACAAATAGTATTCTTGTCATTTATTGTAGAATTGTTCCTTGTCAGAGTTAAACTATCACAGCTAGAAAGAATATGAAATCTAGAGTATTAAGAAAAATACGTGATTAATGTTAGTGAAGAAGGCATTTCAAAGGTACTAAATAAACAAGGCTTTTAAAAGATGCTTGCATAATATTGTGCCAGAAAACGTCACAAATAAAATACTTAACAGAATTATTACAAATTAGATTTTAGGTACATTTTGAATACAAAATACTTTCCCAATTTCCATCTAATATAAAAGATGGCATAATCTTAAAGAAGCATGGCTGGAATTGGCTGAATGGTAGCAACTTAAGTAAATGTGGTTTATCATGCAAAAAACGATATATATTAGTTTTATAAAGTTTTAGTGTCAGATATTTTGTCTGAAAGTTGAGCATAGTGTTAGCCTTTAAAAAGTTATTTATTATGCCACATATTTTATGAATAATGTAAACATTCACTTTTGCAACAAAATGCCAAATACTTGAATATTTGAAAGTTATTCATAAAGTAGTTTAAAGCACATTTAGTTACATGATGAAATTCATACTTTTTCTAGTTTTTCTTTTCTAATATTTTATTGTGTATGTTGATGTATATAATATTGATGTGTATAAAATACATATAGCATATGTCAGTCCTTTCATATTTTTAACATATTAAAATAAGAAAAAATAATGGGAATGTGATTCTTACGAAAATAATATTTTCTTGAATCTGTCTCTTCTTCGTAATCTCTCCCTCAGACTCTGGCTTATTTTGTCTTTTTTTTTTTTTTAACTCCTCTTACTATCATTCCCAATAATATTCCCTTTTGAGAGACTGCGAAAAGAGTTATCTGTCTGGTCCCCTGCCTCTGATGGCCATTTCTTCTGGTCCCTGAAACAGATTCTGTACTTCCCATTATCCTTATTTTTGTATACGTTCTCCATGCCTGAAATTCCACAATTGCCCTAAATCGAATTCTTTATGCGACATAACTGTAGTATCCCATATTTCTAAGAAATCTTTCCCAATTCATGTCAAAATTAAAACTGTTTTCACAATTTTATAGCACTTGTTTTTGATAAATAACTTAGGAAATAGAACAATCTGTCTTATTTGAGAATTTACACGTAACACATACTTGCCATACCATTAGGAATCAGGAATGGAGGAGCCATGCTCTGCAAAACCCAGTATTTTGCTTCATGGCTAGACATTCAACACATACCTGTTAAACTAGATAACTGAGTAACTGCACTAATGTGCAAAATATTAGTAAGAAATGATAGGAAAAAATAAAACACTAAATAAGCATAAGAGCAGCATTATTTGAGACAAAGACTAATCCTTGGTAAATATTTCTTCTGTTTTCTAGAAACAACCCAAGTATAGATGTCAAGAAAATAATTGTTTAAAACTAGATGCAGAATTTACTACTGATTTACATTGACTCCTCTTTTCTGATTCCCAAACTTACAATTCCCTTTTATTGATTTTCCCGAATACTCTTAATATATGTATCTTCATCATTTTTCTTAATCTCATCCACTTAATCATTAAATTGTAATTCAGAATCATAAAAGTTCATTTTGGTATTATATCAAAGTCATAAAGACACATGGCTACAAAACTCAGATATCCTTGTGCAGACACACCTCACTCACTCTACATTCAGCTGAAACATAACCAAGTATATCCTTAATGAAAGTGACATTTAGTAAAGGATGAACTATGGCAGAGGACAGGCACTTTTGTGTAATCCTTTTGTTGCCAGAGAAAATTTGTTTGCAGGGTATGAAGAAATGATTTTACAGTATTTGAGAAAATATCTTTGCATATTTATGTTTACAGAATAATTGTGAATTATGACTTGTCATCAACAAAACATTTAGAAAGTACAGTCATCCCAACAACATAAAATATCAATTACGAGCTTAATAACCAAGCCCAAAGAAGCTGGAGTCTTAAGGTAATATTTCTAAATCTTCTACCAAAAGCTGACAAAAAGTAAACAATTGTTATTGTGTGAGTGGCTAAGAAAAAGGACTTTAGCAATAAATTATCTGAAAAATGTGTAAAGAAATCAATCCAGTCAAACAACAGTAGAATACATGTATTTGCTCCCGAGTATCCTGAAACTGTTCAGAATGGACATGATATTGGGATATAAACTATCATGCAGCAAACACATTATATTGAACGTGATTTGCAATAACTATGTGCTGAAAAAGGTTATAGGTAAAAATGTCAGAGGACAGCAGAAAAAATCCATAGATAAGATAAAATGTTTTAAAAACTAGATATAATTTTTTTCTGGAAAAATGGAGGCCAATCAAACACTTAAGAATAATTTTCAAATGTACAAAAGTTTTATATGAAGTAGATATGGTCAGCTGATTCTCAACTACACTGGGAGTTAAATAACGACCGCAGGGGAAAAAAATGACTGAAACAGAAATACGAAAGGCAGAAAGTGTTCCTTAAACCATGAAAGCCTTACTATTTGGCATTAATCACTAATGGTATATGTAGATTGTTTTTCAAAAAGTAGTTGAATAAACTATATTTTCTTTTTGTATTAAAAATTTAAGTATTGATCTGCAAGAAAGTAGAATAACTTTCTCTGTAAAGACTTTCCACAATCAAACAGCTGCTCCCAAACTGGTTCCTACCATAGCTCACTGATACTGAAAAGAAGTGAATAGCCGAAAAATCACCAACTTTCTCTCTCTCTCTCTCTCTCTCACACACACACACACACACACACACACACACACAAACCACACACAAAACATGAGAAGTCTAGTATAGTATTTCAAGGCTTCTTGTGATTATATATGGTAAAGGCAAACAAATTTAAGTATAAATTTCAATAATGTCATCCTAGGATATACCAGGCACAATCTTTTAATTTGATTTTTAATTAGATTAATAATCCAATTACTATTAAATATCTCATCATAATATATTATTTAGTTTTAAAAGACTTGATATTTTTAGAAATGATAAACCTTGGGAAAAAATTAAAACTGGGTTTTGACTTCAAAATAGAATATTTTAAAATTTAAAAACAATGCACATATCTAAAGGACAAAGTTATTTTATTCTTATTTTAAATGGAGATTCTAGCTTTTCAAAACCATTTTTCCTAACCACGAATATGTTCAAGTGACTTTTTAAAATACCATTAAATTGAAGTAAATAAGAGTACACTTTTGTTCACAGGGTAATTTGTGTAAACATCTATAGCTTGTTCATCTAATTCAGAAACTCCAGATTCAAATATGTCTTAGTATAAGCTTTGTCTTGGATGGATAAATGCATCATTGAGAACAGGTGTTAAAAGATTCCATGGAAAATTAAGGAAATTTAAGTCAAGGACACGAGTCTTGGAGGTCAGTTCTCTGGAATTTCAGGCATACTTTCCACATGAAAAGGATTCACTAGACATAACCATAAATAACTGTGCCCTTCATGTGTGCCCAGGATTGTCTGTTTTCCTTGAAGACCAGGATACATAAGCTGCTTCCTCTTTCAGACAAAGTGTTGCGGGGCCTCCTCTTATAGTAGAAGCTTTATTTAGCAGTTGTGGTGAACATCTCATGTGTTCTGACACGACAGACAAGGACAAAAGCATAGTATACTTTCTCATTAAGCATCCATATGAGGAAATCTTCAAGGATGGGCTCGCATAAGAGGCTGATGAGATTATTTACACAGATGGGCCATCACTGAGTTCAAGAACAATATTGAATAAAGCCATGCTTCTCAAACTCCACTGTGCTATAAAACTGAATTTACCATCCTGCTAGATCCATAATAAATAAAATATGTATTACAAGTGAATACCAGCATAACTGATGTTTCCATCATACCAATTAATCTGCAAAGGAAATGGACCAATTGAGATCTGCACCTTGTTTTATCACTCATATATATGTAGAGAAGCAAGAAAAAAAATCTTGTCTAGGGCATGGGCTTGGTAACTGAAAGACACTTTGTAATCTTCACTGTTGAATTTACTCATACATGATATGAACGATTTTCTGGAAGCTAAGAAAATTATTTTACTCTACCAATATTTGCAGGATAAGGGAAATAATTGCTTGAGTAAGGTTTTCTCTATCTCCCTTTCTGCTATTCTGACTTCAGGGAGAGTTTACGGAGAGGATAAAATGCGCTGATTAAAGTTTCATCAAACCACCTTCAGCTGTTCTCAAAAAAATAAATTAGCCTCTTCATGTATATCATTGAGAAATGGATGATTTCTTTCTTTGCTTTTCTTCCAAAAAGGCAGAAGTCACAACTTCAGTGTGGATGCTGTGCACAGCAGAGGATAATGGAGACCAGGTTAGTATTGAGGACTTGATAAAATCTAGAAGTCCATCAGTGAGGTAAATAATCATCACCATCCCAGCTTGTAAAACAGGACAGCTTTCACTTCCGGCTTCTGCTTTTTGTTTTCAGAGTGGCAAAGCACAGATGTATTCTGTCCCTGGAGAATTTCAAAACTCAAAAACATATCGTCCAGGGAACTAAAACAAGCCATTTATCACAAAGCAAACTCTTCTGACAGTGGTGTATCACGAGCAGAATCAGCCCAAGTTTTTATGTCAAGACAAGCAAATACAGTCTTATTAGAGTGTATTCAGCAAGCCCATGTAAGAAATTCATTGTTTAAGGTTTTCATTGAAGGTGCAGTTTTGTGTAATGCCATTAAGCTAAATCAATGCAATCTGAAGTTTCAATATCTGAGTTAAAGGTAAGAAAATAATTTTTATAAAACATATTGTAGAACTGGCATTCCACAAATTACATTTTGGAAAGCACGACCTTTATAAAATAAAATTTCTCAAGATATGTATGTAAAAATAAACAATGCCCTTTACCCTAGGAACCTATAAGTAAGCATTTAACACTCTCTAAGCAAACATCCACATCACAGGTCCAGTTATGGCCTCTCCAAACTTTAGCTTTTTGTATGTGGCAGCAAGTTTCTACTTCTAGCTTTCTTCCATTCTTTTCCTATTAACCAAAAGAAGAAATATTGACAGTTGCTACTAACAGGAGCCTAGAAGAAATAAACACCCTAATACCTGGTAATCTAGCACCTTTTCATTTTAAAACAATTAAAAGTAACTTAACTTTCTTATGATTTAACACAGAGCAAATGTAAGAAAGAAAAAAAAAGCAAGTTACTCTTATATCCTTATTCTTCAGGAAAAAGAAACGGTGTTCTATTTTACTTGCGACAAGTTTCTCATGTAATCCACCAGCAACATCATGGCTTCTGCCTACAACAGGGTCACTGATAAGAGACATTAAAATAAGGTGATAAAAAACATTTGGTCTCAAAGCTATAAAAATGTTTTCTCAAGCAGAAGTGGAAAATGGTGAAAGATTTAGCTCTTAAAGTAAACAAAAGTGGAATTAGGAACAAAACTGCCATAAAGGGGCAGATCAATGGTCCGTCAGACTGTGAGCTGACAAATGCATCAGGGGATGTGGAGAGGCAGGTATGTTCATTACTCTCCATGATCTTCATTTCAGAGGTGAGGGGCATGCTCTGCATGTTCCTAAATTCTCCATCGGGTTTATAGAAGGCATCACAGGACACCAGAAAAAGGGATTATCACTTGGTGCTTGAGGAAAGTAATTTAGAGCAAACTAAAGAAGTTTTATTCTCCAGTATTTTTCAGAAGAGATGTGACTAGTTCAAACTAAACTCTTAAAAAGTTAAGAGGAACACTTATTAATAAAGTATGATATTGCTTCATAGCACAGAGCCATGTTTATTTTTCTTTCCAAGCTAGATGTTTAACAATAAAAAAAATCAAAACTCATTGCTGTTAGTAATCTGAAGCAATTAGAAATTCAATTTGCAAGACTACTTTAAAGCTTCTGTGGGCTTGGAGAGCAGGATTAATGACTGTTAAATTCATTGTAAATCCTGAACTATAAGTATTAGTTGTTGCTCACTATCTGCCAGTCACTGCACTAGGTGATAACTAGGATGTTTCTAAAAACTTTAATTTAAAAGGACATACAGATAGATGTAAATAATTACAAAATATAATAACTCTACTGAAAAAGAAATGAGTGTCTCTTCATGTTTTATGGGTAAGGTGCTCTATAAACATAAAAAGAAATCAAAGGTTAAGCAGTCTGGTGTAGGTGACTAAGAGCACAGACAGAATGGCCAGTGTTTGAATCCTGACTCCACCATTTACTAACTGCAATGCTGGGCAAGTTACTGCCTCAGTGTCCTCATCTGTAAAATGGAGATGGAAAGAGTAGTAATACAGCATGTGACTGCTGTAAGAATTAAATGACTTAATATACGTAAAAAACATACACAAAAGTATCTGGTACATAGTATTATATACATGTTAACTGAGGTTATTATTTCAGACGTAACTATCTCAAAACATGCTAACTTTTCCCTAACCCTACCACCACACTCATTTCAAACTGGAAAAACATTTTTAGGCATTAGACAGCACTTAAAACTCTTGCTTTTACTCTTAACAAATTTGACTACTGAAATAGTTTCAACGGCTCCAATTTAGTAGCAAGGTTCCTGCTGTGACAGACCCCCTTCCAGAAGGAAAATTATGTGGCAATAAATGTTTGCACATTTCATCTTAAAATCGTGGAGCTGGAAAACAGTTTGGGGAATATGTAAGCAAAACACAGATATTCAGCTGGTTGGTCATGCTTTACTTGGGCTTATAGTACTTACCAGGGGAATACATACCAAAAATTCTCTACTTTAAGCCAGATATTTTTATGGCACTGAGCTAACTGCATCCTATTGTAAAATGACAGCAGAGAGGCAGCACACAACTAAACGACACAAGTTGGTTTGCTTGGATGTGCTCTACTCTGTAGAAGCCAAACCATGTTTCTCAGAATTGCTGCGACTCACACTCTCCCCTCTACACCATGCTCATCTCCACTCAGGGTCTCTGAGCTCCAAGATAGCCTTGGCATAGCGCTTTTCTGAGCTCCTTATGCTGTTGGCTCAAATTCAGAGGGTAAGCCAGGAAATACTAAATAGGGTAAAATAGGGATTGAAGAGAAGGGAGGCAATGCAAATTAAAGTATCTCATCAAGGTAGACTCTTTGGGAATTATGAAATCATGAGACTGGTTTTGTAGGAAAGAATGAAATTGCATCTGAAAGTTATTTCCAAAAAGGGAAGAAATAAATGGTCAGATGAAAGGAAAAATTATTTGGATACATGTATAGTATTCTCTGCTGTGAAAGTCAATACCTACTTGACTATATGATCAGGCAATCACACACAGGGCAGAATTTGGATTCAGGAAGGTTGAGCTGAAATGTTGGTTCTGCTACTCACGAGCTATTATGAGTCTGGGCCAAATAATTTAACTATCTTTCAGCTTAAAGTTTAAATTGCATGATATCTGGTAAAACTCTGGGAACATAGCTAACACTGAATAAATAACAGTTAATGTGAAAAAAGTATAATTTTAAGTTAATACCAGTTTTATCTCATTCAAGCTTTTAATACGGTAATAAAAGAGAATATAGATGATAAAATTGTGCTATGTTGATGCGTGAACCTTATTACTTTAAGACTTAGATCGAACCCAGAGCTCCATTTCTAAAAAAGATGTCACTGTTTCAGGCAAAAATTTTCTGATGCTAAGAAGCTATAATTTGGTAAAGAAACAAAGGATTGAAAAAGTAAGTGAAGAAGATGGCCGAATAGGAACAGCTCCAGTCTACAGCTCCCAGCGTGAGCAACACAGAAGCCAGGTGATTTCTGCATTTCCATCTGAGGTACCGGGTTCATCTCACTAGGGAGTGCCAGAGAGTGGGCGCAGGTCAGTGGGTGCGCGCACCGTGCGCAAGCAGAAGCAGGGCGAGGCATTGCCTCACTCAGGAAGCGCAAAGGGTCAGGGAGTTCCCTTTCCTAGTCAAAGAAAGGCGTGACGGTCGGCACCTGGAAAATCAGGTCACTCCCACCCGAATACTGCGCTTTTCCGACGGGCTTAAAAAATGGCGCACCACGAGATTATATCCCGCACCTGGCTCGGAGGGTCTTACGCCCACGGAGTCTCGCTGATTGCTAGCACAGCAGTCTGAGATCAAACTGCAAGGCAGCAGCGAGACTGGGGGAGGGGCGCCCGCCATTGCCCAGGCTTGCTTAGGTAAACAAAGCAGCAGGGAAGCTGGAACTGGGTGGAGCCCACCACAGCTCAAGGAGGCCTGCCTGCCTCTGTAGGCTCCACCTCTGGGGGCAGGGCACAGACAAACAAAAAGACAGCAGTAACCTCTGCAGACTTAAGTGTCCCTGTCTGACAGCTTTGAAGAGAGCAGTGGTTCTCCCAGCACACAGCTGGACATCTGAGAACGGGCAGACTGCCTCCTGAAGTGGGTCCCTGACCCCTGACCCCCAAACAGCCTCACTGGGAGGCACCCCCTAGCAGCAGACTGACACCTCACAGGGCCAGGTACTCCAACAGACCTGCAGCTGAGGGTCCTGTCTGTTAGAAGGAAAACTAACAAACAGAAAGGACATCCACACCAAAAACCCATCTGTACATCACCATCATCAAAGACCAAAAGTAGATAAAACCACAAAGATGGGGAAAAAACAGAACAGAAAAACTGGAAACTCTAAAAAGCAGAGCACCTCTCCTCCTCCAAAGGAACGCAGTTCCTCACCAGCAATGGAATAAAGCTGGACGGAGAATGACTTTGACGAGCTGAGAGAGGAAGGCTTCAGATGATCAAATTACTCCGAGCTACTGGAGGACATTCAAACCAAAGGCAAAGAAGTTTAAAACTTTGAAAAAAGTTTAGAAGAATGTATAACTAGAATAACCAATACACAGAAGTGCTTAAAGGAGCTGATGGAGCTGAAAACCAAGGCTCGAGAACTACGTGAAGAATGCAGAAGCCTCAGGAGCCGATGCGATCAACTGGAAGAAAGGGTTCAGCGATGGAAGATGAAATGAATGAAACGAAGTGAGAAAGGAAGTTTAGAGAAAAAAGAATAAAAAGAAATGAGTAAAGCCGCCAAGAAATATGGGACTATGTGAAAAGACCAAATCTACATCTGATTGGTGACCTGAAAGTGACGGGGAGAATGGAACCAAGTTGGAAAACACTCTGCAGGATATTATCCAGGAGAACTTCCCCAACCTAGCAAGGCAGGCCAACATTCAGATTCAGGAAATACAGAGAACGCCACAAAGATACTCCTCGAGAAGAGCAACTCCAAGACACATAATTGTCAGATTCACCAAAGTTGAAATGAAGGAAAAAATGTTAAGGGCAGCCAGAGGGAAAGGTTGGGTTACCCACAAAGGGAAGCCCATCAGACTAACAGCAGATCTCTCGGCAGAAACTCTACCAGCCAGAAGAGAGTGGGGGCCAATATTCAACATTCTTAAAGAAAAGAATTTTCAACCCAGAATTTCATATCCAGCCAAACTAAGCTTCATAAGTGAAGGAGAAATAAAATACTTTACAGACAAGCAAATGCTGAGAGATTCTGTCACCACCAGGCCTGCCCTAAAAGAGCTCCTGAAGGAAGCACTAAACATGGAAAGGAACGACCAGTACCAGCCGCTGCAAAATCATGCCAAAATGTAAAGACCATCGAGGCTAGGAAGAAACTGCATCAACTAACGAGCAAAATAACCAGCTAACATCATAATGACAGGATCAAATTCACACATAACAATATTAACTTTAAATGTAAATGGACTAAATGCTCCAATTAAAAGACACAGACTGGGAAATTGGATAAAGAGTCAAGACCCATCAGTGTGCTGTATTCAGGAAACCCATCTCACATGCAGAGACACACACAGGCTCAAAATAAAAGGATGGAGGAAGATCTACCAAGCAAATGGAAAACTAAAAAAGGCAGGGGTTGCAATCCTAGTCTCTGATAAAACAGACTTTAAACCAACAAAGATCAAAAGAGACAAAGAACGCCATTACATAATGGTAAAGGAATCAATTCAACAATAAGAGCTAACTATCCTAAATATATATGCACCCAATACAGGAGCACCCAGATTCATAAAGCAAGTCCTGAGTGACCTACAAAGAGACTTAGACTCCCACACATTAATAATGGGAGACTTTAACACCCCACTGTCAACATTAGACAGATCAATGAGACAGAAAGTCAACAAGGATACCCAGGAATTGAACTCAGCTCTGCACCAAGCAGACCTAATAGACATCTACAGTACTCTCCACCCCAAATCAACAGAATATACATTTTTTTCAGCACCACACCACACCTATTCTAAAATTGACCACATACTTGGAAGTAAAGCTCTCCTCAGCAAACGTAAAAGAACAGAAATTATAACAAACTATCTCTCAGACCACAGTGCAATCAAACTAGAACTCAGGATTAAGAATCTCACTCAAAACCGCTCAATTACATGGAAACTGAACAACCTGCTCCTGAATGACAACTGGGTACATAATGAAATGAAGGCAGAAATAAAGATGTTCTTTGAAACCAATGAGAACAAAGACACAACATACCAGAATCTCTGGGACGCATTCAAAGCAGTGTGTAGAGGGAAATTTATAGCACTAAATGCCCACAAGAGAAAGCAGGAAAGATCCAAAATTGACACCCTAACATCACAATTAAAAGAACTAGAAAAGCAACAGCAAACACATTCAAAAGCTAGCAGAAGGCAAGAAATAACTAAAATCAGAGCAGAACTGAAGGACATAGAGACACAAAAAACCCTTCAAAAAATTAATGAATCCAGGAGCTGGTTTTTTGAAAGGATCAACAAAACTGATAGACCGCTAGCAAGACTAATAAAGAAAAAAAGAGAGAAGAATCAAACAGACGCAATAAAAAATGATAAAGGGGATATCACCACCGATCCCACAGAAATACAAACTACCATCAGAGAATACTACAAACACCTCTATGCAAATAAACTAGAAAATCTAGAAGAAATGGATAAATTCCTCGACACATGCACTCTCCCAAGACTAAACCAGGAAGAAGTTGAATCTCTGAATAGACCAATAACAGGAGCTGAAATTGTGGCAATAATCAATAGCTTACCAACCAAAAAGAGTCCAGGACCAGATGGATTCACAGCCAAATTCTACCAGAGGTACAAGGAGGAACTGGTACCATTCCTTCTGAAACTATTCCAATCAATAGAAAAAGAGGGAATCCTCCCTAACTCATTTTATGAGGCCAGCATCATCCTGATACCAAAGCCTGGCAGAGACACAACCAAAAAAGAGAATTTTAGACCAATATCCTTGATGAACATTGATGCCAAAATACTCAATAAAATACTGGCAAACTGAATCCAGCAGCACATCAAAAAGCTTATCCACCATGATCAAGTGGGCTTCATCCCTGGGATGCAAGGCTGGTTCAATATATGCAAATCAATAAATGTAATCCGCATATAAACAGAACCAAAGACAAAAACCACATGATTATCTCAATAGATGCAGAAAAGGCCTTTGACAAAATTCAACAACGCTTCATGCTAAAAACTCTCAATAAATTAGGTATTGATGGGACGTATCTCAAAATAATAAGAGCTATCTATGACAGACCCACAGCCAATATCATACTGAATGGGCAAAAACTGGAAGCATTCCCTTTGAAAACTGGCACAAGACAGGGATGCCCTCTCTCACCACTCCTATTCAACATAGTGTTGGAAGTTCTGGCCAGGGCAATTAGGCAGGAGAAGGAAATAAAGGGTATTCAATTAGGAAAAGAGGAAGTCAAATTATCCCTGTTTGCAGACAACATGATTGTATATCTAGAAAACCCCATTGTCTCAGCCCAAAGTCTCCTTAAGCTGATAAGCAACTTCAGCAAAGTCTCAGGATACAAAATCAATGTACAAAAATCACAAGCATTCTTATACACCAATAACAGACAAACAGAGAGCCAAATCATGAGTGAATTCCCATTCACAATTGCTTCAAAGAGAATAAAATACCTAGGAATTGAACTTACAAGGGATGTGAAGGACCTCTTCAAGAAGAACTATAAACCACTGCTCAATGAAATAAAAGAGGATACAAACAAATGGAAGAACATTCCATGCTCATGGGTAGGAAGAATCAATACCATGAATATGGCCATACTGCCCAAGGTAATTTACAGATTCAATGCCATCCCCATCAAGCTACCAATGACTTTCTTCACAGAATTGGAAAAAACTACTTTAAAGTTCATATGGAACCAAAAAAGAGCCCGCATCGCCAAGTTAATCCTAAGCCAAAAGAACAAAGCTGGAGGCATCACGCTACCTGACTTCAAACTATACTACACAAGGCTACAGTAACCAAAACAGCATGGTACTGGTACCAAAACAGAGATATAGATCAATGGAACAGAACAGAGCCCTCAGAAATAGCGCCACATATCTACAACTATCTGATCTTTGACAAACCTGAGAAAAACAAGCAATGGGGAAAGGATTCCCTATTTAATAAATGGTGCTGGGAAAACTGGCTAGCCATATGTAGAAAGCTGAAACTGGATCCCTTCCTTACACCTTATACAAAAATCAATTCAAGATGGATTAAACACTTAAACATTAGACCTAAAACCATAAAAACCCTAGAAGAAAACCTAGGCATTACCATTTAGGACATAGGCATGGGCAAGGACTTCATGTCTAAAACACCAAAAGCAATGGCAACAAAAGCCAAAATTGACAAATGGGATCTAATTAAACTAAAGAGCTTCTGCACAGCAAAAGAAACTACCAATCAGAGTGAACAGACAACCTACAACATGGGAGAAAATTTTCGCAACCTACTCATCTGACAAAGGGCTAATATCTAGAATCTACAATGAAGTCAAACAAATTTACAAAAAAAACAAACAGACATCCCCATCAAAAAGTGAGCAAAGGACATGAACAGACACTTCTCAAAAGAAGACATTTATGCAGCCAAAAAACACATGAAAAAATGCTCACCATCACTGGCCATCAGAGAAATGCAAATCAAAACCACAATGAGATACCATCTCACACCAGTTAGAATGGCAATCATTAAAAAGTCAGGAAACAACAGGTGCTGGAGAGGATGTGGAGAAATAGGAACACTTTTACACTGTTGGTGGGACTGTAAACTAGTTCAACCATTGTGGAAGTCAGTGTGGCAATTCCTCAGGGATCTAGAACTAGAAATACCATTTGACCCAGCCATCCCATTACTGGGTATATACCCAAAGGACTATAAATCATGCTGCTATAAAGACACATGCACACGTATGTTTATTGCAGCACTATTCACAATAGCAAAGACTTGGAACCAACCCAAATATCCAACAATGATAGACTGGATTAAGAAAATGTGGCACATATACACCATGGAATACTATGCAGCCATAGAAAATGATGAGTTCATGTCCTTTGTAGGGACATGGATGAAATTGGAAATCATCATTCTCAGTAAACTATCGCAAGAACAAAAAACCAAACACCACATATTCTCACTCATAGGTGGGAATTGAACAATGAGAACACATGGACACAGGAAGGGGAACATCACACTCTGGGGACTGTTCTGGGGTGGGGGGAGGGGGGAGGGATAGCATTAGGAGATATACCTAATGCTAGATGACGATTTAGTGGGTGCAGCGCACCAGCATGGCACATGTATACATGTGTAACTAACCTGCACATTGTGCACATGTACCCTGAAACTTAAAGTAAAATAATAATAAATTAAAAAAAAAAAGAAAAAGTAAGTGTAGTTAAGGCTTGAATCCATGTGTTACCAATTCTCACTGCCTTTTCTATACATCTTTATGTCTCCTGCATAACTCTTGAATACACAGTATCTTCAGTTCTACCATTTAGGTTATAATTCTCTCTTTAGCTCTTTTTTAATCTGTGATGAACTTATCTGTCATATTTACTATATTCTTATTTCATTTTCATTTCTAAGAATTCTCACTGTTCTTTATGTCTGCTTACATTTTGCTTATAATGTCTCTTTTTATTTCCTCAAATTTATTAATATATTATTTTATGGTCTAAGTCATGCATCCAGTGTCTTAGTCATATGCACAAATGATTCTTCTCTTAATTGTTTCTGCTGTCTCATATTCGTGGAAACTTGTTTCTTCATGTGACTGGTGATTTTTGACTGTAAATTGGTTTTTTTCCTTGAGATTTATCTGTGGAAATCTTTTGAGATGAGATATGAAGTTGGGCTTTTCTAGAAAGGATATGTTTTAGTGTCTGTATGGTGTCTGGGGATACCTTCTAGTCCAGGACCAGCCATTTTAAATTAAATCCTGGCCTGAGGTTCACAGTGTACCAAGATGGTTTTCATCTGAGATCCGATGCCAGTCAAAGGTTGCTTGTAGTTGCAAATTTTCAGGAGAAATTTTCTTTCCGTTTTTACTTGCTGCCAAAGTTTGGAACAGGTAATTTCTTTGTAGTCCCCTGAGGATGGGGATAGGTTTATTTCTAGTTCATCTGTGTGCTAAGGTGTAACTCTTTAAGGTCCTGGCTTTATGGGAGGCCTCCCATTAAACTTCTCACCTTCGGCTTTGTCTTATTTTCTTACCTCTGTGAAACCTTAAAAATCGTGCTTAAACTCTCCTGCTTGGGAAAATGCCTTTAAGACAAAAGCCAGATTTTGTACTTTTAAAAAAAAATCTCTGTGTCTTCAAGGTAACAGTATGTTGTATGAAATCACAGTTAAGCCTCCTAATACTGATTCAAAATTAACTCAGAAAAAGCTGAAAGACATTCTACTTTTAAAAGCACAGAAATCAACGACTTGATTTTGGTTCTCCTAGGAAATATGCAACAGCATGAATGACAATAAATATAGACAACATGTAGTCTCTAGATAATTTTCTCAGTAGGTCCTCAAATGGTCCTTAGCCTCCCACGAAAGAATCCATAAAAACATCTGGGAGAGTATGTCCAAAGAAACAATTTCATCATTTCCAAGGAAATAACATATTTACCTGAGAAAATAATACTTGGGCCAAAGAGAAAGGGTGTCTTTGTTGTTCGACTAGAATTGTATCTGCCCTGTGGAGCAACATAGTTTAATCTGTTTGAAGCTGAAACTCTGATTGAGGTTTATATATGTCTTTAATTAATAAAGCCCTGAATTCTTAAATATTTCAAAAATACAATTTTTATAATGAACTGAGATAATATTTAGGTCCACACGAAAAGGAAATAGTGATAAAAGGTGACCTCAATGGTAAAAACAACGGTGTACTAATGCTTCTGAACATTATGTGTAACATTGGTAACTGTATAGGGCTTTTGAAGATGTTTATATTTCATTAACATACCATATATGGTTGATTAACAATTGGTGTGTGGTTATGCTGATTAAAAGTCATTCCTCAAATGCCAAAACACAATTCATTCACAATTATTCCATAGGAAAGATCAATTCAGTTCAACCTCCTTCAATATTGTTAGATGTACAAACACTACTTATATTCTAAATATGTTTATTCTGAATTTTCTCCAAGTGTTCTTTCTGTAAATAGGAATTTTTATTCCTAGTCTCCTTTTCCTTCCTGTATACTTCTCATTTATCAAAATGTCAACCCTTGATTATAGTTGCCTGCTTATTTATCCTTTACATCTTAATTTATTCCTTTCTAAGTACTATAGAATTCTGTCAATCTGAAAAATCTATAAAAAATCTATATTACCATTTATATTATATATTATATATGATTATATATGATAATATGATATATATGATTATATATAATTATATATATGATTATATATGATTATTATATGATTATATATTATATTATATATGATTATATATGAATATATATAATCATATATATTATATATAATATAATTATAACTATATAATATATTATTATTATATAATTATAACTATATAATATATTATAATTATATAATTATAACATATTATATAATATATATTATATAGTTATAATTATATAATAATAATTATATATTATATATTCCATTTATACTAACTGAAATACTAACTTTTTATTTTTCATTATGACTACTGATGAAGTCTAGCATAAATAAACCCACTGCAAAAGTCATTAGAACTAAGCTTTTTGCATAAGCAGAAGACAAGAACAACTGTAGCTGTAGAAGTATTTCTGAAAGCCGTGAAAGCAGAATCTCACTACAGCCAAGTTTTGCAAGCTAAGGGTTACATGGCTCTGACCCGTAAGCTTCTCATATCATGAGATCACCACTTTGGCTCTCACAAAGCCAGCGTAAGAAAGCAGAAGAATAGAGTCAAAACCAACATTGCACCTTCTTAAGCTTTTCAGCAAAGTAAAAAAGACAGAAACTGTGTGCAACAGAGGAATTCAAAAGTAGCTATCTAAACCATTAGTTAACAACAATACAATGTGACACAAAGAGGGACAAGAGAGGATAACAAGAATCCTTTGAATAGGATTAATCTATTCCTTACTCTATTCAATAACCTGCTACCTATTTTTATTAAATACAGACTTTTTCTTTCAGTCTCACCAAGTAAATGCCAAATCAGAGATGGACATATAATGGGGAGAAGTGCAAGTTTCTAGTATGAAAACTAGCTGTTTTAAGTGTTAAGGTTCGCACAGGAAAAAATAAAAAGAAACCATTAAATGATGATGAATCGGTGAAATATGTGTGCAAAGGAAAACTTGCCTCCATCAGCAAAATGCACAAGTTAATAATTTACCAGTAAGTGGTAAAGGCATTTATCACAAAAATATCAATAAAACTATCTCCTCCCACCATGTACATTTTCTTTATGAAGGCAAATAGGTATTTTCTTTACAGAATGACTTAAAATTGCTGCTGGTCCAGTATAATGTTGATTTAGCTTCAAAAGCAAAGTCTGGTAACAAAGAAAAGGAATAACAAAAATATATCTAGAAATTATTTTGATGATGTTTAATAGGTATCAGTAGACCACTCAGAGACAGATGGGAATTATTTTTAAATTTTTTCTGTTTACCTAAGAAGCTAGTAGTTCTTTTCTAAACCACTCACACTTCTATATTTATAACAAAAAGAAATTTAATGATACAAACATAAATATGCAAATACAAAATTAATTTCTGATAAGCTGTAAATTTTATATTATCTGACTATTATGTAACGTGAAGTTAATATTCAGGAGGAATTTTTTCAGTAGTTCTCCAATTTAATTTATTAATTTGGGAGCACATTTTAAATTTTATTTCTAAAGAATATCAAAGAATGAAGATTTCACAAGCCTAAGTACTTCATATTAAAATGTTTAATTGCCTTTTATGTCAAGAAGTTCTTTCTTATATTAACTGAAATTTCTTCCTGTAATTTAAGTCCATCTATCTTACTCTGACCTTGATGTTGACAGAGAAATGGTGAGCAGCCTTCCCATAACGACCATTCACATATTAGAGCCAATTATTAAGTCACCTCTTAGCCCTCTATCCTCCAGGGTGGACATATGTAAGTTCTTTAGCCTTTTCTATAGGCTTTATCTCCAAATGTTCCAAAATCAATCTCTCTTTCTCCCTTCTTTTTCTGGCTTTTTCTCCTTTGCCTAATTTTTTCAGTCCCAAGCTTGTTCACATTTTCCTTATGAGATGATCATAACCAGTGCTTATACTTCTCAGATTTTACAACCTTTATTTTTTATATGCATGCTAGTATGTTACTTACTTCTAAATAAGACATTTTTTTTCATTCATGGAATGAAAACCCAAATCATATTTTCTATTTAAACAATGGCACAATAGACAAGAATCCTGGCAGAATGAAAAGCATGAGTTAGAAACAATAAGATGTGAATCCCATGTCTGACACTTAGGAGCTGGAGCACATCATTAAACTTCCTAGGCCTCTATTTACTAAATTGAAGATAATAATTTATACCTTATATGTTACAAGTGTGGGAGATTAAATAAGTGGATGTCCAGTGGCAAAAAGTAGCTGATACTATTATCGCCTATTATTGCCATCATATAGCACACTAAAAGCCTATTGTCCAACCATTTTACAGAAATGACCACAGGTGTTATATTTAATCAATAAATGTAATATACCAGATACTGTAGAATATCTAAAGAGTATCACAAAATAGTGATCTATTATATTCATTTGTTAGTATATATGTAACTGATTCGCTGTGAGTAGGGAAAGCAAAGTCTAAGAAGGACCTGTTTAGAAAAATAAGAGCCAGGAAGACTTGCAGAACAGGAGGCTAATTGTGCCTGAGGCAGGAGAGGGAAGAGACAGCAGGAGAGTAGCTGAGCTCACAGAAGGGGGTCCCATGAGGTCCAGGGCTGAGGGGTCAGGTCACATGTGATGAAACCCATTAGAAAACTAAATGACTGGGCAACACAATCTTTCTTTCCCCTCTGGAATTCATATGGAATTACCTTGGAAACTCCTTAATCCTATTTCAAGAGCCAACTCTTTTTCCTAATTCCTATAAACAGATGGGATCTTTCCCTCTGAAACACCAGAATGTTTTGTTTATATTGTTTTTCTGACATTTACTTTAATTTAACTCAACAAATACTTATTAGAGTGCTTACTGCACACAGGCAGTATAATAGGTATTGGAGATACATTAGTGATAAACCTAGACATAGATCTCTGCCTTTATGAAGCTCACATTCAATGGGGGAAAGTGGAAAGTCAAACAATATAGTAAACATAATAGGATCAGATTAAGAAAAATGAGTGGGAAAAAGACTGAAGGTGTCAATTCCCATTTTAAATGGGAGGTCTTCTTGAGAAGGTGACATTTAAGTAAAGGTTTCAAGGAGAGCAAGCTGGGACCATGACACTATGTGGAGTAACATTTTTCCTACAACGAGAAAGGCCAATTCAAAGGCCCTCATGTGGGAAGGAGTTTGGTAGAGCTCAGGGAAAACAAGGGAGCTGGTAGAACAGTAGCACCATGAGTTTAGGGAGAGTAATAGAGAAGAATTCAGATAGATAAGAAATAAAATAAGAGTCAGGGGTCTATAAGTACCTGGGGAGAATAGAATGAGTAGAGATCAGGAAGGGATTTGTGGGTCAAGACTGTGTCTTTTATTATCATTTTGTGTGTGCGGGGGGGTGCGGTGGTTATTATGGAATTTTCAGCAAAGAACTGGCACAATATGACACAGGTTTTATAAACATCACTCTGAATGCTTGATAAAGATAGGCTGTAGGAGAACAGGATTAAAAGCAGAGAGATGTTGCAGAAAATGATTCTGGCAAAATGGTGCTGATTCAGACTGGGGTGGTATATTAGTCTATTCTCGCATTGCTATAAAGAACTACCTGAACCTGGGTAATTTAGAAAATTTAAAGAAAAGAGGTTTAATTGGCTCACAGTTCCATAGGCTGTACAGGAAGCATGGCTGTGGAGGCCTCAGGAAACTTACAATCATAACAGAAGGCAAAGAGGAAGGAGGCACATCTTACATGGCTGGAGCAGAAGGAAGAAAAGAGCAGGGGGAGGTGCTACACACATTTAAACAGCCAGATCTCATGAGAACTCATTCACTATCATGAGAACAGCAAGGGGGAAATCCACCCCCATGATTCAATCACCTTCCACCAGGCCCTCCTCCAACACTGGGGATTGCAATTTAAAATGAGATTTCATGTCCTTCTCCCATCGCAAATACAATCATGCTTTCCCAGCAGTCCCCTAAAGTCTTAACTCATTCCAGCATTAACTCAAAAGTCCACAATCCAAAGTCTCATCTGAGATAAGGCAAACCTCTTCCACCTATAAGCCTATAAAATCCAAACAAGTTAGTTACTTCCAAGATAGAATGGGGATACAGGCATTGGGTAAATACTCCCATTCCAAAAGGGAGAAATTGGCTGAAACAAAGGGACTACAGGCCCCATGTAAGTCTGAAACCCAGCAGGGCAGTGATTAAATCTTAAAACTCCAGAATATCCTCCTTTGACTCCATGTCTTACATCCAGCTCACACTAATCCAAGGGTTAGGTTCCCAAGGCCTTAGGCAGCTCTGCCCCTGTAGCTTTGGGGGCTCAGTTCCCATGGCTGCTCTCAAGGTCTGGCATTGAGTGTTTGTGGCTTTCTAGGTACACGCTGCAAGCTGTTAATGGATCTATAATTCTAGGGTCTGGAGGATGGTAGCCCTCTTCTCACAGCCCCACTTGGCAATATCCCAGAGGGGATTCTGTGTGGGGGCTCTAACCCCACATTTCCCCTCCACACTGCCCTAGTAGAGATTCTCTATGAGGGCTCTGCCCCTGCAGCAGATTTCCACCTGGACACCCAGGCATTTTCACACATCCTCTGAAATCTAGGTGTAGGCTCCCAAGCCTCAACTCTTGTCCTCTTTGCACCCACAGGCTTAACACCACATGGAAGCCACCAAGAGTTATGGCTTACACCCTCTGAAGCTATGACCCAAGCTATACCTTGGCCCCTTTTAGCCACTGCTGGAGCTAGGGCAGCCACAATGCAGGGTGCCATGTCCCAAGACTGCACAGAGCAGCAGGGCTATGGGCATGGCCCATGAAACCATGCTTCCCTCCTAGGTCTCCAGGCCTATGATGGGAGGAGCTGCTAAAAGATCTCTAAAATGCCTTCAAGGCATTTTTCCCCATTGTCTTGGCTATTGACATTCAGCTCTTCTTATGCACATTTCTACAACCCACTTGAATTCCTCCCCGAAAATGGGTTTTTCTTTTCTATCACATGGCCAGGCTATGAATTTTCCAAACTTTTACACTCTGCTTCCCTTTTAAATTTAAGTTCCAGTTTCATACAATTTCAGATCATCTCACACATATGAGAACACACTATTAGAAACAGCCAGGCTACATCTTGAATGACTTGTTGCTTAGAAATTTCTTCCGCCAGATACCATAAACCATCACGCTCAAGTTCAAAGTTCAAAATAAGTTCCCATCTCCATCTGAGAACTCATCAGCCTGGCCATCTCTGTTCATATCAATATCAGCATTTTGGTCAAAATCATTCAAAAAGTCTCTAGTGAGTTCCAAACTTTCCCACGTCTTCCTGTCTTCTTCTGAGCCCTCCAAACTGTTTCAACCTCTGCCCATTATCCAGTTCCAAAGTTGCTTCCATATTTTCAGGTATCTTTACAGCAATGCCCCACTCCTGGTGCCAATTTTCTGTATTAGTTCTCACATTGCTATAAAGAATTACCTAAGACTGTGTAGTTCATAAAGAAAAGAGGTTTAATTGGCTCACAGTTTTGCAGGCTGTACAGGAAGCATGGGTTGGGAGGCCTCAGGAAACTTACAAACACAGTGGAAGGCAAAGAGGAAGGAGGCATATCTTACAAGGCTTGAGCAAGAGGAAGAAGAGAGTAGGGTGAGGTGGTATACATATTTAACAGCCAGATCTCATGAGAACTCACTCACTATCAGGAGAACAGCAAGGGGGAAATCTGCCCCCATGATCCAATCACCTCCCACCAGGCCCCTTCTCCAACAATGGGCATTATAATTTGACATGATATTTGGTTGAGGACACAAATTCAAACCTTATCTGGTGGCAACAGTGACAGGGATGAGAAGAGGTTAGATTCTGGAAATACTCTGATAGCAGAGACAAGATATCCTTGTCTCTGGATGGCAGGATCAAGGGTAGCCTGGGAGCTTGGAGTTGCCATCCACTGAGATGGTCCATATCATAACTTGCCTTGAAATATATTTATTTGTGAAAGACTTTGTAGATAAGAGCTCAGGATTCAAATTTAGATATATCTGACATCAAATCCTGAAATGTTTATTTGCTAAATATCTGATGCTGTGGCAATCACTTAAGTACCCAAGTGTCAGTTTTCTCGTCAGTAAAATGAGTTAAAAATGCCTGCATGCCAAGTTTTCTGTCAGGAATAAATGGGATAATACATGCAAAACATTTCACAAAATACATTGTACATAGTAAGTGATCATTAAATGATAGACATGCTTTTGTAGTACTCATAGGATAATCACTATTTTTATTTCATGTGTTTTATGTCTTCTATTGGGTTGCATTCTTTTCTTGTTTTGTTTGTTTGTTTGTTTGTTTGTTTGAAATAGGATTTTGCTCTCTTGTCCAGGCTGGAGTGCAGGAGATCTATTATAGCTCACTGTAGCCTCTAACTCCCAGACCCAAGCATTCCTCCTCCATCAACTTTCTGAATAGCTGGAACTAGAGACATGCACCATGATGCCTAGCTAATTTAAAAAAAAATGTTTGAATGTTTTGTAGAGACAGAGTCTCACTATGTTCACCAGACTTGAGTTGAACTCCTGGGCTCAAGCAGTCCTTCCATCTCAGCCTCTCAAAGTGCTGGGATTACAGGCATGAGCCATCATGCCCGGCTGGGTTGCATTGTTGAAGAAAGGCATCATCTTTTTTCCCCCTTGCAGAAATAAGGCATACTGTGTGTAGCGTTAATAGTGCTCTCTCTGTGCATTAATCATCATCTGACTGACATGATGTTGTGGATGGGGAGCCTGGTATTACAAGGGGTGATAGATACAAATGGATGATTGGCCTTTCCTATTCATTTCTAGAGATGATAGAAATTTCACATGTTGACTTCTGTTGGTCAAAGGATTTTCAAATATAAGGTGTGGAATATATTGGCAAAGCGCAGCAAGTTAAATTTCTACCACAATCACTTTTTAAAAAATTTATGTCCCCAATGATCCCTTGAAGATTTTTTCACTTGCTAATTCTCTTACCTTTTATTCTATGTAATTTTGTTTGGTGTACAGATATACTAACCACGACATAAGAATTGCTGAAAAAGTGTTCCTGCTTGTAAAGGATCCCCTTTAAAATTGAAGTTATTTTGAACCCTGTTCTTCTCTTCCAAGCTTGTAGCAACCCTCTCCACCTTGGCATCATATGTAAATTTAATGAGCATTCACTCACTTTCATCATCTAGGTCATTGGGTCACTGATTCTTGTTTCCTTTGTGCTTTTAGAACAAAGAGACTGTCTCAATCCATCTATTCCAGTCCTTCCTGTCTATGGACAGTATTTTCCTGCTTCCATTACACTTTAAGAATACAAGCATTTTCAATCTACTATTAAAATGGGAAACTTGTTATTTCACCAGATCTAATTTGTTAAATAGAGTAGTTTTCATGTTTTTCTCTTCCCACTCTAAAAAATGCTTGCAATTTTAGGAGTTTTTTATTCTTTTAATAATGGTCTTGGGACTATCCATATTGAACATTACTCAGTATTTCTTCAAAGGCAGTCAGCTCTTAAATTCAATCCCAAATTAGTAGCTGGTCTATTGGTTCCTAACCTTTATTTTTTTATAATCTTCTGTCCCGTTATAATACATTTCTTTATAAAAAGCTATTTAAAGTGTATTATAATTATTATTCAGGGAGAATAACAAAAAACAGAACTGGGAATAATCAGAATAATTATTAAGGAAATAATTACAAGAGATGATAAGCTAGCAAAACACTGATGCAATGAGGGGTTGACTGTTGGCAGAGGTTAATGTTGACTAGTAACAGAGATCTTTAGGGAGAAGAACACAGAAGAGCAGTGGCAAGAAATTATTGTGTTACATACAACATTTCAAAATATAAGTGATACATTATACAACTCCAGTCTCTACAATCTTTCCTGAATTTTCCAGATCTATCAATATTAACTCCATCTCTACATCTACAGGAATATTCTTTTAGGAATGCAATTTTAATTATCTGACTCCTCTGCTTTAAACTCTTCTTGGTTCTATCTGACCTGTTGGATAAAATACAAATTTCTGTCTGGGAGCAGTGGCTCACGCCTGTAATCCCAGCACTTTGGGAGGCTGAGGCAGGCAGATCATGAGGTCAGGAGTTCAAGACCAGCCTGGCCAATATGGTGAAACCTCGTCTCTACTAAAAATACAAGAATTAGCCAGTCGTGGTGGTGGGCACCCATAGTCCCAGCTGCTCAGGAGGCTGAGGCAGAAGAATCACTTGAACCCGGGAGGCAGAGGTTACAGTGAGCTGAGATCATGCCACTGCACTCCAGCCTGAGCGACAGAGCGAGACTGTCTCAAAAAAAAAAAAAAAAAATTTTCTTAGTGAGAAAGGAAATGTCTTCCAAGTTCATATCCAGCTTATTCTTCCAGCCTATCTGCTACCCAGAATTCACATTCTGCTATGATCATGTTTAACTCTTTGATGTTCCACTTAATCACCAGTTTTCTTTTCTGAGCTTCCTCTAAAGAATGATTTTCTTGTTTTTTTACAGTTCCCCTCTACTCCCCTGTCTCGTGACTGTATCTTGTATATATTTCTGTCATAACTCCTTAGATTCTGAGGTGGCATCCATTACTTTTTTCTACTGATCATTTTCTTTCAGAAATTGCTCCTCCTCTACTTTGAGTGATCCCAGGGGGCCTACCCACTCTGGGACTTTTGTCTCACATCACAGAGGATGAGCTCATGACCTTCACTGACCAGTCAGAATACCCCATCCCTGTGGACACAAGGATTGGCCAGTAATAATCTATTTCCTAATCAAAACAAATCATAGCCCTTTGGGGAAACAGATATAGCTTCTATTGGATGGGAGTCAATTTACTCCTTCTCTGAGCTCATTAGGGTCACAAGATTGAGGCCCGTATGAGATGAGTCTTAGCATATCTTAAGGATCATCTAGAAATTAAGTCAGATAGAGAAAGAGATTCAATAAACTGAAGAAAGGTAGATTTCTGATGATACTGTAAATACGTAATTCAACTATTCTGAAAGTTAATACTACATATCAAATTTACCCATTATTTAGTCAACAAGATTGAATAAATGGCTTAAGATGACTTCAGGTAGGTGTCAACATTTAATATGGAAATATTGCTGGATAACACTCATATGTTACTGCACTGGTTTATTTATATGTTTTCTCTCCTTTGTGTATTATTGATTGTTATATCTCTTCTACTCAGCACACAGTGCCTAGAACATAAGCACAGGCTTATCAAATGATTTTGGAATAAATGTTCCAGCCAAACTTGTTAATCAAACATGAAAATAATTAAGAATACTGGCTCTGGAACCTGATTTTCTGGGAAACATATCCTTGAATTTACCATAACTCAACATACTTACCTTTAAAGTGAGGATTATGATCATAACAACCCCATCAGATGCTTATAAGAATTAAATTATATAATAAATGTAAAAATCTTAGTTCGGTGACTAGTACAGAGTATCCATGTAATAAATGTTAGCAGTTATTATTTATGTCTCCAGAATCATCTATATTACCTGTCATACATCCCAGAATGATGTGGTTTAACCTACAAAACCCAACATAGTTTACCTTTGTTCCACTTACAAAGTAATTGGTTATTACTCATTATGCACATACTAGTTTTCTTATAGGAAGAAACTGAGTGAAGCCAAATCAAAGAACAAGGCTAAGAAACTGAATTTACATAAAGGCCTGATGCTGAGATTATGAAAATGAAGTCCCTGAAATTTCAGCCTCAATGTTTTAACCCTCATTTCTCCATATTCACATTTGAAAATTATTTTTCGGATATGCCAGCAGATAACTGGGTCACTATTTTTCTCCACAGTTTTAGATGTTTGATTTGGTACTACGTGAGTGAATCCACACAATGAAGGCCCATCAAGAAAGCATGATGAATAAGTGGACAGAAAATCAATAAGGATACAGAACACTCGAACAACTCTATCAACCAACCTCACTTAACTGGCATTTATAGAACACTCTAGCTAACACTAGTGGAATACATATTCTTTTGAAGTGGATACAGTACATTTACCAACACATATCAACTTATGGGCCATAAAATAAACCATAATAAATCTAGGAAGATTCAAGACATACAGAGTATATTCACTGACCACAATAAAATTAAATAAGAAATGAATAACAGAAAATTTTCTGGAAAAATCTTCTAATATTTGTAATCTAAATAATACACTCTGAATAAGACACGAGGCAATTAACAAATGAAATGGATAATTAGCAAGTATCTTAAAGTGAATGAAAATGAAACTTCAACATATCAAAATTTGGGAGATTTCCTAAGTTGTACACTTAGGAAAAAATTTACTGAATAAAGGCTTAAAATGGAACAGAAGAAAGGTCTCAAGTTAATGACCTCAGCTTCTACCTTAGGAAAGTAGAGAAAAGAAGAATTTAAATTCAAAGTAGGTAGAAAAAGGAAATATTGATTAGAGAGCATATCTATGAAATAGAAAACAAGAGAGAAAATCAATTACAACAAAGGATGCTTTTTGAGATCAATAAAATTTATAAATGTCCAGCTAGACAAATCACAAAAAAAGGAATAATACACAAATTACCAATATCTGGAATGAAAGAGGTTATATGATTAGAGATGCTGCAGTTATTAAAGGGATAATAAGGGAATATATCCTGTAAAACTTTATGTCAATAAAGTAAACATTTTAGATGAAATGGGCGAAGTGCGTGAGAAAGAAACTACCAATGCTCGCATTAAAATAAATAAATAACCCACCATATATTAACAAAATTAAATCATTAGTTAAAAACCTTCCCAGGAAGAAAATTTCAGGTCCCTACTGCTATACTGGTAAATTCTAACAAACATTCAAGAAAGACATAATATAAATTTTATACAAATTCTCCGAGAAAGTTGAAAAAGATAATAGTTTCCATTGCATGATGCTAGCACTATAGTGACAACAAGGTGAAAGACGTTACAAGAAAGAAAATTACATACTAATATCCCTCATTAGCCCAGATGCAAAATTTCTAAACATTTTTTTAGCAAATTGAATCCAACAATTTATAAAAAGGATAATATATTAGGACTAAATGACATTTGTCTCAGGAATGCAAAGATAGTCTAACATTAAAAAATTAATCATTATAATTCACCATATTAACAAACTAAAAAACAAAAAAAATATAACCATCTTGATAGATTCTGGAGAAAAGCATTGAATTGAGTCAACATCCATTTCTGATTAAAACTTTTAGCAATGGCAAAATAGCATGCAACATCTTCAACCTGATAAAAGGCATTTATAAATATTTAGAGACATCATACCTAATGGATAAAGACTGAAGGTATTGCTTCTAAAATTAGGAACAGCACAAGGGTTTGCTCTCACCACTTCTATTTAACATTGTACCAGAAAAATATGCAAAAATGAATTGCATTCTATGTACAGCAAGACAAAAATTAGAAATGAAATTTCAAAATAATACTATTTACAATAGCCCAGAAATGTAAAATACTTAGGGATAAATCTGAAAAAAAATATGAAAAATGTATTCACTGAGAACTACATCATTGATAGAAATAAAGGGGACCTAAAGGAACTGGAGGCATACTGTATTCATGGGTCAGTCAATATTGCTAAGATGTCAAGTCTCCCAAATTGTTTTATAAACATAATGCACATTTCCTGCAATTCCAGTATAATCTTTGTAGGAGTTTACAAACTCATTCTTAAACTCATATGCAAAGGACCAAAGAAACTTAAAAAAAAAAAAAAAAAAAAAAAGAACAAAGTTGGAGGACTAACAGGACCCAACCAAAATATTTTTTGTGTGTTCACTACAATAAATGCTTCAGGGTATAACTTCTAACTTCCTAGTTATTTCCATGCGGTTATTCATGATATCTTTTTATCCCTCACAGAGTATCGAGAATAGTATTCCAGGCTGGGTGCCATGGCTCAAACCTGTAATCCCAGCACTTTGGGAGGCAGAGGCGGGTGGATTACTTGAGAACAGGAGTTTGAGACCAGCCTGGCCAACATGGTGAAACCCTGTCTCTACTAAAAATACAGAAATTAGCCAGGCATAGTGGAACATGCCTGCAGTCCCAGCTACTCAGGAGGCTAAGGCAGGAGAATCACTTGAACCCGGGAGGTGAAGGTTGCAGTGAGCCAAGATGGCGTCACTGCACTCCAGCCTGGCGACAGAGTGAGACTCCATCTCAAAAGAAAAAAAAAGTACATAGAAATTCCAACAAATGCAATTTAACCTACACTAAAAATCACAGCAGACTTTGATCCTATTTTAACTATTATTAAGTGGCTAGTGCATGTAAAACACTAAGAGGCACATCATCATGTTAAAATTAGAACAACTAAGAGATACAGATATAAAGAAAAATCCTAATCCAAGTAACAATGGGAAAAATTCATATTTGCCTTATTTTTATATCTAGTCATTGGCTCAAAATTATTTGTTGCCATTGAAAGTCTAGTATTTTAAAATTTCTTTTGTTATGCTTAGTTATTCAGGAAATGTTTAATTTTCAAAATCTCTTTTAAATAATGTTTATAAGATGCATGCATCATGTCATTACCTATATCCATTTGCATCAGCCCATCAAAATAAGTTAGTATTTAAGGGCATTGGTGAAAATTAATTTGTCACTATATGGGTCAGCCCTCTTATTAATAATAATAAAAACTGACATTTACATAACATCATTTGTAGAGCAATTTCATATCGAGTCTCCAAATATTTATTGATTAATATTTCCAATATTTCTATGCATTATTTGGCAAATATTAATCTCCATTTTGCCAACTTTTAAAGCAAAGCTGTAGCTCATAAAATGACACGAACCTAGTGACTCTGTTTTCTAAATCACAGTCTATGTCTATCTGCCCGGAAAAAAAGAAAAATACATACATCTAACATGAATTAGTTTAGCTATCTTGGTAATGAAATATCTAATTGGCACTTTGTTCTTTATTCCCACCTTTTTATATGCGATCCAGTCAAACACCCTGTCAATATCTGTTGCCTGCAGCACTTCCTGTGATACTGGATGGGAACTGGCCAAACCGTCCAGCAGCATCACTTCATGCAGAACATCGGTCAGAAACCTCTGCTTTTCCTGCAATACAGCAGACGGGGCAATATCATAGGTGATTCATAGTTAGACATATGTATATGATGACATGAACATAATGTGTGTCACTTAATTGCTGATGTTCATCAGTCTTCCAAGGCATGACTCAACTCTAAAGTGAACCCAATAAAAATGCTCCTTAAGTTACTCTAAAATGAAGGTGGTTGACTTAAGCACACCACGAAACAAAATCAATGGACACTACATTGGTCCCTAAATAGATAAAAACAGTGAACTCTGTGTTTTAACAGTGGCTAAAGCAAATGTGGACAATGGGCAGGCAATAACAACAATGAGAAGATGCAGACTTATTTGTGCATTTTACAAGGGTAAACATTATAATTCCAGTCCCAAATCACCTTTTAGGTAAGTTAAATATAAGAAGTACTAACCTTCTGTTATTCATACCATGATTTCTAGTAACATTTGAACAGCTCTTTTTTTCCCTGTCCTTCCCTCCCTTCCTGTCCCCTTCACACACTCACACAAAACACACACACACACACACACACACACACATTTATTTTCTGAAAAAATTTCAAGAGACCACAACTAGTAATAAAAGGCACTCTTCACATCAAGCTAGAATACTGGTGGGTGTTATTTGGGAATTCAAAATAGTGGACATAAAGTAGAGATCAATAGGTATTAATAATCCATTGCCATGAAGAAATGAAAATAGAAAAATCATAAGACTTCCATTCTCTGCATGTTGAGACATTAGTATTTGCTCTGGAGAAAGCTGATTTGCTATGTTAAAAAATAAACTAAGGAAAAAGTACTTCTCTGTTTTTGTTTTTTGGTTTGTTTGTTTTAGAAAGTCTGCTTTAAAGAAACAGCTAGGTTTTTGTTAATAGAAATGCTGGCAGCTAGTAGTCTTCCTGGCCTCCTGCCTTCATTGAAGGAGGAGAGTAAGAAAAAAGAAATTGCAAAATATAAAGAAGGCTAAATAGCCCCTAGATAGTTGTGACCTAAGGAGTATCATTACAGAGATTAAGACTCCAACGCTTAAATTGCTCTAGCTAATTCTGAACTCACTCCTGGTGTCTCCTAGTTTTGAGCCCAGCAGATAAACAGCATGTTATTTCTGAGTGAGTTGTAATTTCAAGCTAAGAGTGCACCAATCCTGGATTTAAAGAAATGGAAATGGAGAAAAAATACGCCAAGAAAAGAATTGTTGACTGGACATAAATGTGTGTGGTAATTTAAACCTGGCTTTAAAGAAAGATTTTTTTCATACTCATTTGCTCAATGATTTAGTATGTTTAATTGATTATTTAATTAGGTATCCGACTAGATACTGTAGGGTTTGTTTTCTAATAGATTATGTTTTATAGTCTATGGCCCATATATTTAACTTCTTCAGTCCTCTCTTGCTCTAAGAGCTTCACAGCAATGGTCTTTGCTCCATCCAAGAGGATTATATGGTAATGACTGAATCAAATCACGCTTTGAGTCCCAGAGGGCTTCTCCAGACCATAAGAGGCCACAGATGAGAAGTTCAAACTTAGACTGAATTAAATGACAAATATGACATAAATACTATATTTCTTCTCAAACCAATTTCCTAATTCCAGACAAATTAAAAAGAGTAGAATTAGACCTTATGCTTTAAAATTTTAAGATTAATAACATTAATACTCACATTGTTCATTTAAGTCCACTGAAAAGCAACACTAAGATCTCAGAAAAATAGCATAGTCTTAGAGAATAAGAAAAAATTATGTATCAATTTCAAAAGAAAAAATTTAATGTTATTTTTAAGCACATATACGACCTTGTTATTCATTCAATTTTAAAATGTAGATGAAAACTATCTGATATTTGAATTAATGGGAAAAATAATGAAATTATAATTATACTTCAACTTGACCAATGAACACTTTTGTTTATAAGAAATACGAATTAAAAGTGTGATTCCATTATGAAGATAAAATAATATTTAGCCATTTAAACAGCAATTGCCTGCTCTATTACAAGCCATTCAAGTACCTGATCTAAAACAACCAGGTAAAGTGAACTTAAAATGATGCTTTATTTAAACCTTAATTTTAATATTTGATAACAATAAATACATATTGATCAATATTAAAATTTACTAAACATACCTTGGTTTGCTAGAGATGTAATTTTTAAATGGTATAAAGTAAATGGCTATATAATTTAAAAAATAAAATCTAAAGTAAATTCCAAAGAGAAAACTTTCCTGTTAAAAGAAATATGAATTATATATCATATTACTGCCTCATGCTTCTGGAGGAAAACAAAAACAAACCTTGCCTAGTCAGTAGAATTTCAATAACCAGTGTTTAAGTTTTCGAGTGTTAAATCATTAGCAAACGATTTATCTGTCTACCTTGTTGGAGAGAACGATATTGTGTAATTAAAAAAACAACAATATTTATATGCATAAATGGATTAAGAGAGAGGGGGAACAAAGAAAAAAGCCTGGCAGGAGAACACCCACAAAGCCCAGAATAGCTAATACCTTAAATTGAGGAGGAAAAAAGAAAATTCTAGCCAGAAGCAAACTCAATTTAACAGACTTGCAAAGAGTTTCCAGCAGAGAAGGTGCTAATTTTTTATAAAGACCTGTGTCACTATAAAATGAGAAATGATCTTAGCTTGTCAGCCCTGGCAGGGGCTCTCATCATCATCAAAATCAACAATATCAGCAAGATTAAGTATTGGTTAATTGCCTACTGTCTACCTGAAACTATGAAAGTTTAAAAATAAAGAAATCCTAGCTTTAATGTGAGATAAGAGATAAAACAGAATATTTGGCCATAGTGAATGAAATAATAGTTTTATCTTACAGGCTGAATGTGCTAAAGGGATTTTGAGAAAAACAACACTGATTTGGTTTGGCTCTGTGTCCCCACCCAAATCTCACCTTCGATTATAATAATCTCCACATGTCAAGGGTGGTGCCAGGTGGAGATACTTGAATCATGGGGGCTATTTCCTACATAACTGTTCTCCTGATAGTAAATAAGTCTCATGAGATCTGACGGTTTTATAAATGGAAATTCCCCTGCACAGGCTCACTTGCCTGCCGCCATGTAAGACAGCTCCTCATTCGCCTTCCGCCATGTTTGTGAGACCTCTCCAGCCATGTGGAACTGTGAGTCAATTAAATCTCTTTCCTTCATAAATTACCCAGTCTCACATATGTCTCTATTAGCAGCATGAGAACAGACTAATATAAATACTGTTAAATGGAATGATTTGTGGAACATTTAAAGGAACAAGTAAAATTTGATCTGACTCTTGAAGGAAATTTAAAGTTTGGTGTGTATGTGTATGTAAGTGTGTACACATGCGTGTTGAAATGTTTGTGGTGAATATTCAACAGGCACTTATCATTTTATATCATATTTTAAGGCCACCATGATAAGTGACCTAACACTTTGAAAAAGCAGCACAATAAAACAAAATGGAGACTTTAAAATCTGTTTAAAATAAGTTCAATGTCAACAGTAACCATAAATTCCACCACTTCAATGTAGATACTACCTAGAGTGGTTGAATATGTGCCCACATTTAAATAGTTACAGTAATATCAAGTATATCATTTTGTATTCAACTATTTTCAAAAATATATTGCATTTGAATTTTTGGAGACTAGTACAAAGGCATTTCAGAAAAGTAAAGAAAATGTGAGTAAATGTAGAGTATATGTACATGAGTATATGTAGAATGAATACCATATAAAATAACACTGCCATTATTTTATGTATTCATTCATTTAACACATATGTATTAAATTACCACTCTATGCCAGATATTGTGCAGCATTTGAGGAATGAATATATCAGCGAAATCTAGGCCCTAACCTTAAATAACTCAACAGTAGAACAAAAAGTACAAAAAAGTACAGATAAACAGCAAACTGTAATATAATATGATGGATGCTATAAAACACAGAGGATGAAATGATTAATTAGTTCAGAAAAGGTTTCATAGAAGAGGTGACATTAAAGTGGGTTGTTGAAGGATGAGTGTTTACTCAGATAAATGGGGGAAACAGCTAAAAAAGGGCAAATCTGGCAGAGGAAACATGAAAGAAAGGCACTCTGCATTCTCAATTATCAGGTTGAAGCTTGGTCTTAATAAATAGGCAGTAGCAGGCGTAATGGCTTAATAAAAGTAGTGTCTTAGGAAAATTATCTGCAGTACACAGGATTATTTGATGCATGTAAACAGGAGACAGGAAGTGGGATGTGGTGATGATGTATTAGAACAAGGTGTTGCTGAAGGACTGTTGGATCTGAGAGATATTTTGAATGAAAAAAATTCAACCAATGTTGATACTTTGATGCCTTGGTTCCCTTAGTCGATGAAAGAGAGGAAATACTCAGAGATAACTACATAGCTTTTAGACATGATGAAACTTAAAAAAAAAAAAAAAAAAAAAAAAAACGGGGGAGGAACTATTGACAGAAATGGAGAAGTAGAAAAAGGTTTGGTTTGGAGGATATGCTAAAAAAAATCCAGTTTTAGACATTTTGCAAGGAAAATTAAGGTAAATATCTAAAAAGATATGTGCTATAGGCAACTGAAAGTAAAAGCCTGGGTCTAAGATAAGAGGCGAGTGCTAAAAATCTTTTGACAATAAATAGTAGTCTATATGTAAGTGAAATCTCACAAGGAATTCACTCTCTTAAATGTTATTTATTACAATATTAGCATTTCATATATTGGTATTCAGTAGCATCTGTGAAGGGAATTATTAATAGTTCTTATCACAGCATTAGGCACACCTGAGAAATTATATTTCTTGATGTCTTGTAATGGCTTCTGCCTGAACATGTCAAAGTCTGAGGAGTTAAAAGAGAATATGCCTGGTGTAGCTACAGTCACTGGTGATGGATGGAAAATAGGAAATAAGAGTAAGGATGTTGGCAGGTTCCCCTAGGAAGACTGACTAATTTTAAGGAAGAGCAATACAAGGCAGATACTTTGACTTTGTCACCAAAAAAAACAACCAACCAAAAAGCAGACCAAAAAAATCATAGAATAATCTAAACCAAGATCAAAGAAAGTCAGATACATCAAACCAGAGACAAGGAAGATAAGAGCCAAGACTGAGCCAATTCAAGTAGTTGTGAGGTATTCATAGGCATGGAGAAAGCAGAAGAAAAATTATCAAAGAGACATGGGTTACATCAGAGCAGCTACAAATACTCAATTTTCTAGAAGGATAGATCTGAACATAAATGGCTTTTATGGTATTCCTAGGATAAAAGGCAGATACATAGAAGCCTCCAGACTGGATATCTGCCATTCACTAGCTGTATAACCTTGAGCAAGTTACTCAAACTTTTTAGACCTCAGCATCCTCAGCTGCAAACATATGTGGTTGTAAAAATTAAATAAGATAATTAGTTCTACAAATATTTTTTAAGCACCTGCTATATCTCAGATGGTATGCCTGGTTCTGGGATAAGAAAGATACAAAGACATAAATCCTACTTGCAAAGGCTATAGAAGTAGGACAGAACAAAGGCGAAAACAAATGTTAAAACACAACTTGCTACATGTAAAAATGGAAGTAGGTTCAGGATGTAGTGTGACTACACCGAAAAGGCTGTTAATTATTCTGCCTTAGGCAGGGTAGAGTTTGAATTGAATATTTAAGGCTGATGTGAGTTTTCTAGGAGGAATGGCAGAAAAGGGCATTCTGGACAGAAAGAATAAGTGGGAAAAGTCACACAGACTTGAGATAGTGTGGTTCGTTTGGGGGACTACAGAGTTTTGTGTGGCTAAAGGCAGAGAGTATAACATAGTAAATTACCAGTAATGAGAAAAGGAAGATAGGCAATAATGAAATCATCAAGATTTTTCCATGCCTAGTCAGAAAGCTAGTGTTAGGAAGTGACATCATCAGGGCTACATTTAGAGATATAACTCTGAATATCTCTGAATAGTGGGAAAGTGGACTAGAGTGATAAGCAACTGGAAACAGAGAAACAGGACAACATTGCATAATTGTGCACAAATGGCACACAATATGTGCTTTACCTTTGTGATCAAAACACATTGCACCAATTATTTCTTTAAAACTTAGCTCTATTTTATAACCAATGGTGATCAACCAATGTATTTACTTTGAAATCCAAAATGCATACATTAAATATAGATATAAATATAAATGTAGGCAGATTTATAATGTATGTAGATGCAAATATAGATATCCAAATACAGTTATTTCCTTTTTCAGTATTTTCATTTGTTTATGTAATATCCTATTCTTGATTGTAATGTTCACAATATCTGGATATAATTTCTTAGGTACAGATAAAGGAAGTTTTTTAATCCTTGGAATCAAACAAATAGAATGTCTGACTAAAATTATAATGCTTGAATAATGCAATCTAATTCCACATATGTTTCCTGACTCCCTCTTCTATAGGAGGTCCTCCGTTAGAAGCAAAGGAGACATAATTGAGACACAATTCTGCCTTTAAGCAACTCCTATTATGGTATGAAAGACAGATACACATATAGCCCATTAATGCCATGTGATGGGTGCAGTATTATTAATAGTATAAAATACTGTGGGAGTAGAAAGTAGAGAGAATGTTATGAGTTAAAATGCTTTCAGTGTCTAAGACTATGTTGATTCAAGTTTACTTGAGCTACCATAAAGAGAACAAATAAGATATATAATTTATGTTTTACTTCTCTGGAAATCTATACTACAACATGATAAAGACTTTTAAGAGTCCCTAGGTTAAACAAAATACCACATGAATTATTACTAAACTGAACTCCTTATTTATACAAGGCTAGAATGAAGGATAAACACATAATTAGCACTGCACAGTTGGTGTTTTTCCTTCTTGTTTTTCATTACCTACTCAAATCATGACAAAGGTTAAAGCAGAGAAATATGATCAAGAGTTGAAAAAAAGTAAATATATTGGGGGAAAATATCCATCAGATTTTAATCCATGTGAAATAGTATCCCTGTAACTTTGCAATTATCATCTTTTGTAAGCATATAGCACAATGCCATATTTGTGAAAATTAGAAATTATGTAGACTTCAAATTTCCTATAACATTGAAAGAAATTTACTTTGTGAATTTTATATTGTCATCCAACTGTTTATAAAGTTCTATAATGTCCAAAAGTATTTTAAGTTCTACCAGTTGAAAGTTAGCTAGATTTACCAGTGAAAAATTATACCACCATTTAGCTGACTAGTAAATAATTTATGCACAGCTAAATCATACTGATAGAGAAAGTAAAAGCTAGTGAAAATAAATGTTGCTTCCATATACCAATGCACTTTAAAAATTAACATTTCAAAATCTCATGTGTAAAATATACTTGTCCAAGACATTAATTATTTTCTCTTGCAGCCTGTTAAAACAGTCCATTTATACTAAAGCCAATCTTGTGTAAACACACTTACATACAGAAGATATTTTTGAAAAATAATTTTAAAAATAATCACCACTAATGCCTACAATGAAACAAGCATTCTACTGAAAAGTTTGTTTGTTTGCATAACCTTTTATGGAAAGCGGTACATGATCACAAGACTCCAGGCATATCTCTTATTGATATAACATTATTCTGTGATTTTGCATAAGCATTACAAGTAACTGAAATAATGTGTTCCATATGTTATTTCTTTCAGCCATCAACTACATTTCATTCAATGCCAAGCTACAAAATCTCTAAGATGCCTTAATCAGTGCATAAACTTAAAAAGCGATTATATTTTATAAGAATATCTCAGGTGATTTTGTGCCTTTCATAATCCCAGATAACCCTCTGCACAGTTTTTATGAGCTGCTATACTCTCGGACATGATGAACACAGAGAAAGTGGGTTAAATTGTGGGTCTGTTCCATGACTAAACCCTTCAGCTGCCTCATGTTTTGTTTTTAACATCCAAGCTGAATGCGTCATGTCTCATTTTATCCAAGATGTGATGCGGCTAAGGGAAAATGCTAAGATAGAACACAAAATGAACTTAATGATATACAACCAAATTATTATTATTCTGCAGACTTACTCAAGAACCTTAAAAATATAGCAATATTGATACAGCAGAAGTTATCAATCAGTCACTCACATTTTCATTAATTATGATAATCCTGGGTCTTGTGGAACAATTGTGAATGTGCTTCAAATAATGTCAATCACAGTAATAATTACGAACAGGTTGTCTAATTACATAGCTCATTCTGATTCTCGCGGCCCAAAAAATCACTGCAAATAATCTCCATATGCCATGTGCTTTCATATAACCCTTTAAAAATATGCATGTCATTTAGCTTTCATTTATTTTTGAGGATTTCTTTTTTAGTTGCTTAAACTATGAATTGATTGTATTCTTTTTAATAAATATTATTGTGTAAATTTAAGGTATACAACATAACATGGGATATACATAGATAGTAAAATAGTTACTATAGTGAAGCAAATTAACATATCCATCATCTCACAGCTATCTATTTTTTTTTTTTTTTTTGGTTTTGTGGCAAGAGCAGCTAAAATCGACTCATTTAGCATGAATCACAGACACAGTACAATTTTATTATTTATAGTCCTCATATTGTATCTTAGACCTCTAGACTTGTTCATCCTACATAACTTAATTTGTATCCTCTTAACTACATCTTCCCATTTTTGGACCACCTCTCCACCTGTATCCACTGCTTTCTTCTCTATCTCTATATATTCAAGGGTTGTTTTTTTTTTTTTTTTACAGATTCCACATATTAGTGAAATCATGCAATATTGTTCTTTCTGTGTCTAGCTTATTCACTTAGCATAATTTGTCCCAGACATATCCATGGTATGACAAATGGCAAGATTTTATTCTTTTGAACAAAATGTGTGTGTGTGTGTGTGTGTGTATTTATACACAAAATTTCCTCATCGACAAACACTTAGGCTGTTTCAATATCTTGGCTATTGTGACTAATGCTTCAGTGAACACTGAAGTATAGATATCTTTACAAGACGGTGATTCCATTTCCTTTGGGTATGTATGCAGAAGAGGGATTGCTGGGTCATGTGGTAGTTCTATTTTTAATCGTTTAAGAAACTTCCATACTATTTTCCATAATAACTGTATATTCCTACCAAGTGTACAAGACTTTCCTTTTCTCCACAACTTTTCCAACATTGGTTATCTTTTAACTTTTTGATAATAGTCATCCTAGCAGGTATGCAGTGGTATCTCATGATTTTCATTTGCATTTCTCTGATGACTACCAATGTTGAGCATCTTTTCATATATCTGCTGGCTATTTTTATGTCTCTTTTGGAGACATGTCTATTCTGGTCTTCTGCTCATTTTTCAATTATTTTTTCTACTATTAAGTTGTATATGTTCTTTATATCTTTTGGACATCAATACCTTATCAGATATATGGCTGGCAAACTTTTTTTCCCAATCCATAGGCTGCCATTTTATTTTGTTGTTTCCTTTGCTGTACAGAAGCTTTTTAGTTTGATGTAGTCCCATTTATTTATGTTTTCTTTTGTGGCCTGAGCTTTTGGTGCATCACACCAAGATATCGTTGTTAACAACAATGTCCAAGAGTTTTTCCCCTATGTTCTCATCTAAAAGTGTTATAGTTCCAGTTCTTACATTTAGGTCTTACCCATTTTGAGTTGATTTCTATGGATGGTGTAAGACAAGAGTCTCATTTTATTCTTTGACATATGGAAATCTAGCTTTCTCAGCACCATGTATTAAAGACACAATCTTTTTCTCATCGTGTCTTCTTGGTGGCATTGTGAAAAATTACCAGAGCGTATATATTTGGATTTATTTCTGGACTCTGTATTCTTTTCCACTGGTCTATGTGTCTAGTTTAATGCCAGTACCACCCTCTTCTGATCATTATATCCTTGTAACATATTTTAAATCAGGAAGTGTGATGTCTCTAGCGTTGTTCTTTTGCTGAAGATTGCCTGGGCTATTCAAGGTTTTTTATGTTTCCATATAAATTTTAGAATTGTTTTCTTCTATTTCTGTGCATAATGCCCTTGGGATTTTGAGAGGAATCATGTTGAATCTGTACATTGCTTTCGGTAATATAGACATTTTAACATATTAATTCTTCACATCCATGAGCATGTGATTTATTTCCATTTATTTGGGTATTCTTTTTTATTTCTGAGTTATCTGTTCAAACTTCTTCACTTTAATTTTTTTTGTTTTTTGTTTGAGTCTTCTTTTTTCTTAATTAGGCTAGCTAAAAGCTTGATGATTTTGTATTTTTTTTTTCAAAAAAAATCTCTAAGTCTTATTGATTTTTTCTATGGTTTTTCCATTCTGTATTTGATTTATTTCTGCTCTGATTTCTATTATTTCTTTTCTCCTGCTAATTTAAGATTTTGTATGGTCTTCTTTTTCTAATTCCTTGAAGTGTAATGTTAGGTGATTTATTTTGGAGCTTGATTCTTTTTCAATGTAGGCATTTATTACTATAAAATCCTCCCTTAGAACTGCTTTTGCTGCCTCTCATAGATTTTTGTATGTTTGTTTTCATTGTCATTTGTCTCAGTATATTTTTTAATTTCCTTCGATTTCTTCTTTGCCCCATTGGTTGTTCAGAAGCATGTTGTTTAATTTCCACATATTTGTGAATTTTTCACAATTATCTGTTATTGATTTCTAGTTTCAGACCACTGTGGTCTGAAACGATGCTATCTATGATTTCAATCATCTTAAGTTTTCTAAGACTTGTTTTGTGGCCTTACATATGGTCTATTCTGAACAATGTTCCATGTGTCCTAGAGAAGAATGTATATTCAGCTGCTATTGGATAAAAAGTTCCATATATGTCTACTAGGTTCATTTGGTCAAAAATGCAACTCAAGTACAATATTTCCTTATTGATTTTATATCTGATTGATGTTTCCATTGTTGAAAGTGGGTATTGAAGTCCCTATTATTGTATTGCTATTCATTTCTCCCTTCATGTCCATTAATACATGCTTTACATATTTAGGTGCTCCAGTGTTGGGTGCATACACATTTACAATATTTATATTCTCTTGATTTAACCCCTTTCTCATTAAGTAATAACCATCTTTGCCTCTTTTGATTGTTTGTGATTTGAAGTCTATTTTATCAGATATAAGTATAGCCAGCCCTGCTTTCTTTTGGTTACAATTTACATGGAGTCCTTCCACCCTTTCACTCTCAGCCTGTGTGTCTCCTTAAAGCTTAAGTGAGTCTCTTGTAGGCTGCATCTAGTTGGATCTTGTCTTCTTATACACTCAGCCACTCTATGTCTTTTGATTAAATAATTTAAGCCATTTACAGTCAAGGTTATTATTGATAGGTTACTATTGCCATTTCATTCTTTGTTTTCTGGTTGTTTTATAACTCCTTTGCTTCTTTCTTCCTTTCTTATTATCCACTTTTGTGATTTGAAAATTTTCTGTAATTCTGAGCTTTGATTCCTTCCTAATTATTGCTTGTGTATCTGTTGAATTTTTTTTTGTTTTGTGGTTGTCATGAGGCTTAAATAAAACATCTTATAATCAATTGTTTTAAGCTGATAACAACTTAACTTCTGTTGCATACAAAAACTCTGAACTTTTACCATCTCCCTCCACAGTTTAGGTTTTTAATGTCACAATTTACATCTTTTATATTGTGTGTTCCTGGACAACTTTTTGTAGCTTTAATTATTTTTGACTTTTAACCTTCATACTAAAGATATACTGGATTTATATATCACCGTCACTATGTTGAAGTATTCTGGATCTGACTATACATTTACCTCTACCAGTAGTTTTATACTTTTATACATATTCATGATAGTAATTAACATTCTTTAATTACCATTTGAAGAACTTCTTTAAGTATTTCTTGTAAGTATAGTGGTAATATATTCATTTAGCTTTTGCTTGTCTGAGAAATACTTTATTTCTCCTTAGTTTCTGAAGGACAAAATTGCTGGGTATAGTATTCTTGTCTAAAAGGGTTTTTATTTTCTTTCAGTACTTTGAAAATATCATCCCGTTCTTTCCTGGCCTGTAAGATATCTGCTGAGAAATACACTGATAGTCTAATGGAGGTCTCCTTATATATGACTATGCTTTTCTCTTGCTGCTTTTAAAATATTCTCTTTGTCTTTCACTATTGACAGTATGATCAAAATGGTCCATGGAGAATACATCTTTGAGTTATTTCTGTTTGGCGACTGTTTGGGGACTACTGACAATATCACTTCCAAGACTTAGGAATTTTCAGCAATTATTTCATTAAATAAGCCTTCTCTTTCTTTTTCTGTCTCTTTTCCTCTGAAAATTGCATAATATGAATATTTCTTTACTTAATGGTGTCCTATAAATCCCATTGACTATCTACAGTTTTTAATTTTGTAAAAAAAAAATTCTGACAATCATTTCAAAAGACCTATCTTCAAGATTCTTCCTTCTTTTTGTTCTAGTCTGCAGCTGAAGCTCTTCAGTGTATTTTTTATTTATAGCTGAACTCTACAGCTCCATAAATTTGATTTGTTTCTTTTTAAATATCTATCTCTTCTTGTTTAACTCCTCACTCAGATAATGAATTGCTTTCCTGATTTCATTGTCTATTTGTATTCTTTTTGTATGTTGTTGAGTTTCCCTAAGATTATTATGTTAAATTCCTTTTTAGGCAATTTGTAAATTTCCGTTTCTTTGCAGGTTAGTTACTGAAGAATTATTATGTCCTTTGATAGAGTCAGGTTTCCTTGCTTTTTCATGTTTCTTGTGTCCCTGCATGTATGTTTGCATACTTAGTGGTGCGGTCACTTATTCTAAGCTAAGAGTGGCTTTTGGAGGCTAATACTTTCACCTGCAGATGGACATATGGGTGTCAGTTGGGCAGGGTGAAGTTGCTCTGGTTCCATGCGGGTGCAGTGGTGTAGTCTCTGTCTAGCTTCTTCAGTTGTTATCTACATTAGCAATAATTGTGGTACCTCAGTGGTCTTGGCTGCAGGAATTTGTGGAAGTGATGGTGGCTGCATAGGTTATTAGTGCAAGGGCTTTAGGGATCCTTCTCTTCTTATCTTCCCTACAGTAGGAGTCTTATCTGAGGGGATCTCTCTTGGTGTCATGTCTGACATGGCCCACAGGCACGTGGTACTTGGAGTCAAAGCACAGGTGATCAGAGAAACTGTGAAGACAGGTTTCTGGGATCAGGGTCTTGTAAAACTAACTATTATAGCACCTGGGACTTGAGGTGCAGCTTCACTTTCCAAGGTATGAGTAGATGCAGTTCTCCCACTAAGCTAAGAACTGTTGCTCTGAGGTACATCCCAGCAACCTGGACCCAGGGAACTGGGGTGTGGCTGTAGTTTTGATCCTAAGGGTCCAGGCACAGTATTGACATGTCTCTGGGGGAAAATAGGTTCTCCAGTGGCTAAGGCCTCCTGGAGCAGGATACAGCAGCAATGCAGGACCTGGAACCAACAAAACACAGTGGGGTATGAGGTACCACACAGTGGTGACTGTAGACCCTGAGAGGTTGGAACTAAGATGTATGGGTTCTGTGACACCAGGTGCAGCAGCAGCAAGTACTCAGAAATAGCAAGATGCCAATACGGCTTGGGAGCTGAAGGGTGGGAAGCAGTGCAGCAATGACCACTCCCCACAGAAGTGGGACATCTTAGAATCTCAAGCAGGGCACCTACTCAGCCTGGAGGTCAAGATAGTACAGCTCAGCCAAAGCTCTGATTCTCCAGGAAACAAGATGTTACATCTTCTCAGCCCCATAAAATGTGGCTACATGGGTCAACAGAGCCTCTGCATCCCTTTGTATGGGGCAGGACTCCGAGTTAGCTGTGACATTGGGGGTGAAACTGCGCTTGTATTCCTGAGACTTGGCTCCCCAGGGACAGGATGCTGCCTCACCTGTAGAATGGGGAGGGGTCAACTGCTCTGGTGTGGCAGAGGCCCCTGATGTCCCTCAGCTGTGGTGCCAGAGGCGTGACTGCTCTGGTGTGCAGGAGGCCTGAGGTCCCCAGGGGCTGGAGTGCTACTTCAGCTCAGCTCTAAGAGGTGGGTGCACCAGCTGCTGGAATGCAGAGGCTGGAGCAGTTCCAAAGTAGCTTGCCTCTAGGAGGTAAAGAATAGCAGCAGATCAGCTCAGGAATGGCATGCTACCAGGTGGGCATATTGCAGGGGCAGCAAAGTCTCAGGGATGGAAGGGTACAATGACTACTCACCCCTGGAGCAGGACACACTCTAATAGTGGCTCTGATTCAAGGTGGCACAGCACAGTAGCAACTTGAGCCATGGGGATGGGGAATAGCCACACTCCTTCTCTGGGTGTAGCTCAGTGTGTGGACTCTGGAGAGCTTCTTCAGCTGGGCTCAGAGCCTACGAAGACTGAAGGAGTCTCTAGTAGCAAAAACTGCAGCATCCATGGTGGTGATTGAGGCTACCTGGGTCCTCTTGCTTACCTTTTCTCTGCAGGAAGAAGTCCCTCCTGGTTCTGAGTTGATCCCAACTCAGGGAATGGGGTGACGGAGGCAATGAATTTCCTTCCCTTCCCTATGTAGCCATCCTGAGTTTCTGTGCTCTACTAGATTTCTGCTGTTTCTTTGCTGTTCTATGGAGCTCTCTTTTAGTTATTTTGGTCAAAATGTAGTTATTTCTTTGTTGTCTGGGGACTTTTCTTGTGGGGGAAAAGAGCACTAAAAACTTCTTGTTGGCCATCTTGCTGACAACCAACCTTTAGGATTTGTTGCCACCTTTTCCTGTTTCCTCAAAACATTTATCCAACATAGTTTCATACATATTCTAATTTCAATGTCTTCTTTTGTTCAATGAATGCATTCCTAATAGCAACATAGAAACTCTTATAATCTTTCATAAGTGATCTTGACATTTGTTAACATTCATTTCATAATTTTCTGTTAATTTTTGGCCAGACTTGTATTGCTGAACATCTCATATATGCTAAACTTTTAAATAAATGCTGGGAAATGATGGTGAAACAAACAGTCTCTAATCTGATAAAGCATATATCATTAGTGGGGAATACTTGCTTTCTCTTCTTTGCTAGTTAACATGAACATTCCCATTCTTCTAGAAAATGTCACTTCAGGATCCTGTCCATAGATTTTAAGTTTCTAAGAGATAATACTTCCTTCACCTTTTCAAGAATTTTATACCTACTTTGGTGGTAAGAATATTTTCCTGCATGCTAAATTTTTTAACAATCTGATAGGACATTTCAACAAAATCAAATTGGCTAATCTTTTTTCATACTTATCCATTCATTTTGCACATTAGTCATAAGGAATCTCCAATATTTTGCAGACACTTGAGAGAATTAAGGCATTTTAATATTTGACAAAATGTAATTCAGAGCATTTTTAAATGTATACGACTAATTTTCTTAAACAGATTATATTTCTGTTTAAATTTCTAATGGAAACTGTCTCATACCATTCAGGTTTGGAATAATTCCAAGGATGAGCTAATCGACTCCCAGAAGTTATTAACATGGTGATGAATTTATGTTATTTTAATTTATAAAATAAATAGCCATACAACTGATCTTAATTCTGTAACAAAATTATTAATTTTTATTAATTGATCAATAGATTTTATAAAACAAACCATTTTTGTACTTTACTTTCAATGTGATATGAATTGTCAATCTATCAAATAACCTAGTCTGATAAAACCTTAACATTTGTCAGATAATAAGAAGTCTTTATATTTCCAATGAAACTAAAAAGCATTTTTTGAAATTTGAAAATTTTGATAACCCAGAGCAAACAACTCCAGAACATATAGAGTACGAAGAGCCCAGAAAGTTAATCAATTAAGAACCTATCATATAAAACTGCATTTCAAAGTAAACTATTATATTTATAAACTGATTGTATAATTAGTAGAGAAAAGCTTTGCTCTTCAGAATGTAAAATCTGAACTTGCAATCCATTTATAAAGTATAAAAATGTTAAAATATGATTACCCTGCAGGTAATATTATTATACTTAAGTACCTAATAATAACAAAAATATTGGTTAAAAATGATAGTAAGAATATAAGTTTCTTTAATTCTTAAAACTAGTCTGTGATATAAACAACATGGGGATTTCATACATATTTTGAAGCTGGATAAACAAGATCACACAGCTATTAAGTAGCAGACAGCCAAAAATTTAATTCATGGGATAGGTAGAAAAAGGAATTGAACTTCATTCTGGCTAACTGTAAAGTAGCATTCATTACTCTAACTCTAACAAAGATAATCTAACTAAATTGGTAAAATAGGTCTGTGAGACTTAGAGGGCATTGATGTTCCATACTTATTTGAGTGTCTCCCATCCCTGACTGAGAAACCAGCCAAAAAAAAAAGGGAGGAGGCATACAGTAAATGTTTATTAAATGAAAGAAGAAAGAGAACAAGTCAATGTAGATTAATCCTTGTAAATATTTGGTCAGTGAAGAGCCCAAATATGCCAGCAAAATACTTAGCAATAAATAGAAAATACTATCTTGTTGTAGGAAGCCAAATTATTTTTAGGCCTGTAAGTTATATGTCCTGTCATCTCTCTAAAGAAGCCAACAATTTCAAGAAAAGTTCCCTGTTTTAAAACTAGGGCAACAAATTTGTTTATAGATTTTTTTAGTTTTTCATTAGTCACCACCAATAGTGTATCATGATTCAAGTGCTTCAAATTGGACCAGTCATGCAAATAGTTAGGAACAGAATGTAATTAATGCCAAATTTTCCTCTGAAGGGGCAATCGATCTAAACTTGTCTTTAATCAGGAAACTTATAAAATAAACAATATTTAGATGAAAATATTCCACCATACTACCACCACTGCCACTACAATCAAAAGAACAGAAATCTGCTATTTAAGTAACCTATCTTGCAAGCAAAGCTGTGATATTTAGGGAAAGAAGCAAGACTTAAAAGCATAACTTACCTGAGCAGAAAGATACTCAAAAATCTAATGAAATGGCCATTGTAACTAGGTTAATCTGAGCAAACATTACAAAATATGTTTAAGCCATGTAATATAAAAATAATAATAGGTAGCTAAATGTTCTGATTATTCTATGATTTTGCTAATCCTCTGAAACTTACCATGCCCAATTTTATTTTTCAAATATATCTATGAATTAGAACAACCTGATTGAGGTGATGGCTCTGTATTTTTGAGCTGCTCTGTAAAAAAGCTACTTCTGACAGAAGTATATCGGTCAGCTAAGAGCCAATAAAAAAAAATTTCCTAAATTTATCCACATCTACTAACTGAAGCCACCAAGCAAAAGATAAATACAAAGTATACAAGAAACTGATAGATACCAATTCCATATTATCATGAGATTTATTCCATAGAAATTAGCACAAGTGGCTCATTTTAGGTGCTTGACAATTCTCTGATGGAAATAAATAGAATGAATGAAATATATGAGTGAATAGAGTGAGAGAAAATGTAGCAGCAATACATCAAACTAATTTATATAAAATTATTGACCTAATATACCATTAACAGCACTTAAGAAGGGCCTCACTGAACTATAAATAAAATCTGAAGAAGAAAAACTAAAATGATTAAGGGAATTAATTGGACACAGGTGTTTTTGAAGTGGGTGCTAAGGGGAGAAAAGCATTCCCATGTATCTTCATCTTTAATGATGTATATGACACAAACTGACAAAAATAAGACTGTAATCAGTGGAATTTAATTTCATCAATCCTAGGAAAAGGTACAAAGCTAAAGACATAACAATTTTCAAAGGGAGCTCACTCAAGTTTGTGAATGGTATATCCACAGAAGTTATTCAGCTCAGTGTCAAAACATGTTCTAGCAAAAATATCTTTTGAATTAATGGTTGAGAAGAGCTGCCTGAATGGCAGAACTGAACAGTGATCTAGCCAATATAATACTCTTCAGACTCAAAAAAAAAAAAAAAAGACTGTAGAGAAATTTGACATTCTCCAGGTACTGACAGGTCTTACTCTATTTCACAGTGAATTAATATATGTAAAGTGTTGAGAGGTACAAAGTAAATGCTACACGAGTCTTTACTATTAAAACGGATAAAGGAGTAACTGAGGCAAAATCTTCATCAACCTCAAATTATCCTTTTTTTTTTTTTAACTTTCTCTTCACAGGAGGCTCTTTTCTATTTTTCTGGTTTTTTTTTTTTTTATTCTATCACTTGAACTCACTACTTTCATTTCTGGCATCCTTGTCTAGGGATATCTTGAACAGTATTAAAGTAACCTTGATAAAAAGAAAAAAGAAAAGTCCCATAAAGTGTTATGGACTGAGACAATCACTCCTTGCTTAGAAATGAGTTGTGTTCTAATGTCTTTTAAAACATATAGCTGTCTGGTTAAGGATGATTAATAATTAGAAAATTAATGAATTTTTCTTTGGTTGCCCTCTGAGTCCCCAGCTTTTAGTTTTGGCTATGTTCATGCTAGAGGCTTTGCAAGGCAAATTCATTTTACCTGGGGAAATGCTGAATAATAGCAGATGTTGAACATTCATATATTAAAAGAGAATAACGTTTTTACCAGGAGTGGTGAGAAGGAGAGATAAAATAGTGGTCTAATATGCTATGGCCACTATTATATATTTGAGAATAATAATATCTAAGAAGACATTTTGTCATTTTGGTATAATTTTTGGCATTATCAATTTTTTGGTTTATCAAGTGGTGTCTGACAGTTTTTTAGCAAACTGGAATATTCTGCTTACAAACTGCTCTTACTTGAAAAGAGAATGAATAGGTTCATTTTCCCCTCGGTATTTCTAGATATGAGAAAGGATGGCCTTGCATTATTGTTAGACTCCAGGTTTAGTAAGTGTTTTCTTCTTAGAAAGCATCTAATGCTGTAAAGTTACTGGTTGGTTTTGAAACTCCTACAAAAATGTAAAAGGACCTTGACACTATGCAAATCCCAACACAGTGCTCAGAAGAAATACTTTATTCCATAGGGAATACTCATTCATTTTAAATCTCTAGGTTTAAAGTATACAAGACCTGAAACCATCTTTCTGAGCAAAATGACTTTGCTTTAACAATCATCCTTTAAAAAATGCTCACCATCACTGGCCATCAGAGAAATGCAAATCAAAACCACAATGAGATACCATCTCACACCAGTTAGAATGGCAATCATTAAAAAGTCAGGAAACAACAGGTGCTGGAGAGGATGTGGAGAAATAGGAACACTTTTACACTGTTGGTGGGACTGTAAACTAGTTCAACCATTGTGGAAGTCAGTGTGGTGATTCCTCAGGGATCTAGAACTAGAAATACCATTTGACCCAGCCATCCCATTACTGGGTATATACCCAAAGGACTATAAATCATGCTACTATGAAGACACATGCACACGTATGTTTATTGCGGCACTATTCACAATAGCAAAGACTTGGAACCAACCCAAATGTCCAACAATGATAGACTGGATTAAGAAAATGTGGCACATATACACCATGGAATACTATGCAGCCATAAAAAAGGATGAGTTCATGTCCTTTGTAGGGACATGGATGAAATTGGAAATCATCATTCTCAGTAAACTACTGCAAGGACAAAAAACCAAACACCGCATGTTCTCACTTATAGGTGGGAATTGAACAATGAGAACACATGGACACAGGAAGGGGAACATCACACTCTGGGGACTGTTGTGGGGTGGGGGGAGGTGGGAGGGATAGCATTAGGAGATATACCTAATGCTAAATGACGAGTTAATGGGTGCAGCACACCAGCATGGCACATGTATACATATGTAACTAACCTGCACATTGTGCACATGTACCCTAAAACTTAAAGTATAATAATAATAAAATAAAAATTAAAAAAAAACAAAAAAAAATCCTTTAAAAACATGTATAATTTTTTTAATTTTCAGCTTTATTTTAAATTTTAAAAATTCATATAGGAAAGGATGTGAGGTAATGTGACTAACACACCTTCCAGATGCTTACCTGAGTAGATAGAAATATATGTTAATATACAGTGAATATACACGAATACTAATGAATTATGCTTGTTTTATCTTCCTTTTCTAAAGATATCTTACTTAGTAAAAGCTAGTCTTCCATTTGAAGCAATGAAAGAAACAGATTTTCATTTCCTGAAACTTAACACATCTTTATAACATTGAGGCTCTTCAAAAGCTTCTATTTCCCAAGCAACTGTGAATCCAAAGTCTTGATTTTTATATAAGAACTACAAGTGCAAACAAAATGAAAACATGTATATATTATATATTCTTCAGTTGTAGTATTATACTCAAAAATGTATCTGTGCTACACAATTTCTACATCAGTTAATATACTTCAACAATTAACAAAGATTGTCCAGCCTTACTCATTCATCTTTCTAACAGATGTTCTTAACATGGCCAATGCCATGTTAACCAGTGCCACAACAAGACATTCTGAAATGCACAGAATTAGTCCTAAAATGAGAAAAAAATGTAAATATAGGTTGTTATTGCATTAGCCTCAGTGAAAGCTAGTTTAACCTGTTAGTGTAACAGGTAAAGCTCTCATTTTAACTGTTTTTGTTTTTTTTTTTTTTTTTTTGCTAAAAAAAAGTATTAATATCTATTCAGTCTCCACTGGTTAGATTCCAGTGTCAGGCCTGCTTAACTCTGACATTCTTTTTGAATTATCTGAATACATACACACTTAGAGTTCTAGTTTAATTCTCAATGCATGGGGCATATGCACATTAGGATTCCTCAAGCATATACTCAGTGTACAACTACAGCACAGGAGATATTTTGCTTTAATGGCATTAGCTGCTGCTCTCATTGCTGCTCTTATATCCTCCTTGTAGTTTCTTTGTCTTTGCTATAGGCACATTATCCACCAATGCCAAAATCTTCTCTAACTGCAAATGCCAGGAGAAAAGCAAACCTTTCTCCCGTAACAGGGAGCTGCAGGTCCCCAGTTCCTCTTAAACGGAAAAACATGTTTCTATTCTTAAAAAGACGTTTATATTTTCAGTAAGGAAAAAAGTTTGCTTGCTGAGCAAATCGGCTATATTTCAGTTAGTCAATGATTTTCTCAACTTCTGTTGAGTAAAAATAAAATAGCCTTAAAAAGCAGGAGGGAACAGAGAAAGGAAAACGCAGTCAGAGAAGAGGTCCATTTCAAAGACTGGGATTCCATGAGACCCAAACAGGCATGCTTTCCACTTCCTTATGGTCTCTCAATGTAAATGTCACTTTTAAGCAACTGAACAGGATCAAAAAGACCAAAAGCCCTTGGGTCCAGCCCTAAGAAGCCTTTAAATTTCTCACATTCACTGGGTATCAGTCATTTGAGAATAAAATATCAATAAATTAAAACATTTGGATCACCTTCTAGTTTATTACTTCAGAGGAGTTATTTTGCAGACTGAACTTCAGTTGCATTAATAATTATCTTTATGCCCAGGTATGTGTCCTTACAAAAATTAAGAGAAAATTTCCAGTCTGCTGACTTTATCAAAGTATAACTTATAATGTTTTTGGTGCGTGAAGCTCTTTACCTTCCCAATTTCTTTAATGAAAGAACATACACTCATGTTTAATGATTCTCATTATAGAAGCACTTTCTTGTAATGCTATATTCAGGAACCTGAAGGAGTCACCTAGAATATAGACAACACAAATTATAATGACACCTATGCACTATGCACAGAGGATATGACTTGACCTGCATCGGCACCAGATCTTTAAAATAAGGAGTTCTCCATTGCAGTATTTTAATAAGCAACTTTCTGCTGTATTAAAATTTTAACATAAACTTTTTTCAAATTAAAATGATCAAGAGTTGTTGAAGAACAGTTACTGTGCTGTGTCAGTCCTTCTTTTTATCTCTTTTGAGGAAACACAATAAGATTTAATATGATTGCCATCAATGGCATACTGTAACTTAATCCATCCAATAATGTTGTCACTAACAGCCAACTTTGATAAAATAACATCAAGCAAAAAGACTATTCATGCTATGAATCCTCTTTGAAATGTGTCTTCAGCCCTAAGCTGAGGAGGTCGTTTCTAATGATCTTGACACTTCTCTTTGATGAATGAAACATTATCTAAGGCTTATGTTCCTATGGAATAGTCCACATTGCCAGTATAGATAAGAATTTATTTGGTGAGACTGAATCTAGATACCAAGTTTATTTTGTACGTATAAATAATTGGTATAAGCCTAAGAAGCCAAAATGGATTACTAGGGTTGGAAATGTTAGCTTATCTATACAAAAAATCAATGTACTTTTCTAATAGAGCTTTCATTTTCCCAGGCCCATGATGCCTACTTACATTTGTAGAGTGGTTCATACATTTCAAAGACCTCATAAGTTATTTTGTCTTCAAAAAAATTATGTGGACTTACTAAGTCAGTATAATTCTCCCATTTTCAAATGATAAGGATGAGTTAGAAAGGGGAAATGCCTTCCTTGAAATCTGAGCTTCTTATTTCCAATCTATCCCCCTGACTTGTATCATACTTCCTGTAAAACCCCATATCTATAAAATGGTAAAGTTGATTAGTTTGCTAGAGGACAAAATTATCACAAAATGCTTATTGTGATAATTTTATCATATGTAGTATTCCTTAATTCTATATCAGAAACTGGCTCTGAAAACACACATACATACAACCTAAGATTTTACTAACAGTTAAGCGAAGTATACTGGCCTAAGTCAGAACAAGAGCCTCCTTAACAATACTATGTAATTCTAGGCTTCTTTATTGCTAGTCCATGGAAGGTAGATTGCCATAGTATCTCTCTAGCAGATAAAATTGTTTTTCAGTGTTTGAGCCTTGATGCCTAAAAAAGCACTGTTTTTGAGATTAATGGCAAAAGAGGTCAACTTCCTGAATTTCTTTACTCCTGACATGAGCCTGACTTCTGGTTTTTCTATTACAGGCTCAGGTGTAGTGAACCTTAAGCCATGCACTTACAGACAAGCTTTTACGCATATCACAATAGTATGAGTTACTGCTGACACAGCCATTACTCTTGTCCTTTTGAGTATTTCTTTCACTCTTTTGCTGATGCCATTATGAAAATTCGTGCTGGCAGAGCCTTCAAGGCACTTAATATCCTCTCTTATTTATGTGGCTATCTTATTCTTAATTGTTTGCAAAGAAGGTATTAATTATATATGGAGGGGCAATTTGTTTATAGAGTTTCTACTTGTAGGTTTTCTGGATTTATATTGAGCTATCTCACAAACTAAAAAGCAAAAGCAATCAAATAGCAGAAAGCTTTTTAAATCTATATAACCTGAACACAAAAACACATCATGACCTGTAATCCCAGCACTTTGGCAGGCTGTCGCAGGTGGATGACCTAAGGTCAGGAGTTCGAGAGCAGCCTGGCCAATATAGTGAAACCTTGTCTCTGCAAAAAATACAAAAATTAGCCCGGCGTGGTGGCTCACACCTGTAATCCCAGCTACTTGGGAGGCTGAGGCATGAGGATCACTTGAACCTGTGAGGCAGAGATTGCAGTGAGCCAAGATCGTGCCACTGCATTCCAGCCTGGGCCACAAAGTGAGACTCTGTCTCAAAAAAACACAAAAACAAAAACAAAAAAAACCCATCATAATAAGACTTGTTTCTTCTCACTATTAACTGTGTAATTAAATGTGATGGAGTTTATTATTTCATTTTTTACTTTAATAGGATGAGTTTTCTGTGACACCGTAATTATTCTGTTGTTAGTTTTCATTTCTTAATTATTAAATATGGATTTAGAAGTGATCAAATCTTATATCTGACTCACCTCAAGGTTTTTATACTCCTAATGCATGGTCTGTGTTTAATTAAGAACAAAGTCTCAGTTGTCTTATTTACACTCTGTGTTCATTTTCAATACCTCTAAAAATATTTTCCAGAATTCCTATATTTACAATGTAACTGATAAAATGATGAAGAAATATGAAAAGTCATTCAAAGACAAAATTTGGAATGAGGATACTGAAACTGAAGATATATTACCATGCTAAAACAATCAAAAGCTGTCACTTTTCACCCCATGTATAATTCTGTTGACTACTTTTAAATCTAAGATGCATTTTTCATAATGGTGAATAGAAAGAATTTTATCACAGGTATCTGAATGAGCTAAAAAAAGCAACACCTATGCATAACACATCACTTGTAATAAGGACATCTTTTAATATTGAAACATAATGAAATTATAAATCAGGAATAATCCACAGTATAATAAAAATTAAATGAGAAATTTAAACAAAGTTGGTGGAAAGTCATCAAAAACCAAAAGATACTTTTGGAAATGTTTCAGTTACCGTAAACATTTACATTTTAAAATTACATGTTTTTTAAAGAATACTTCCAATAATATAATGTTGTATTGCTGATTTTTCTTCAGTGTCATTTAAAGGCATTGTTAATTAATTTGAATGCCAAAATAAAACACTTCAATTAAGATATTAAAATTATGTTATACATATATAAATGCCTAGGCACATAAATCAAATAAACTTATCTTGTAGATTTGTGCAAGTGAGTCATGTTGCCTTCATAAAATATCAGTAAAATTGCATGAAAATAATTAAAACACATTGATATGGTATTACTATCTTCACATTTTTGTTAAAGTAATTTCATTTTTTTTTCTCAGCAGGAGTCGTTTAAATTTATGTTGGAGAAGTTATATGATGACTTACAGATGCTTTCATATTTTACCTTGGTTTACGTGTTCTTCAAATTATACTTGGAACAATAACAGACAAGTAGATAACTGCCTATTACTACTTTAGAACATCAAAAGAGAGCAGTATAAAATATTTTTGGAAGCAATCGATCCACTGACAGATGAATGGATAAAGAAAATGTGGTGTATACACGCAAGAGAATACTATTCTGCCTTTAAAAAAGAAAGAAATTCTGCCATTTGTAACAACATGAGTGAACTTGGTACTTCATGCCAAGCGAGATAAAATAGACAAATACTACATAATTCCACTTCTATAAGAAATCTAAAATAGTCAAATTCACAGAAGCAGAGAATAAAATGGTGGTTGCCAGAGGCTTGGGGGAGGAGGAAACAAGGATGTATTAGACAAAGTGTACAAAGCTTCAGTCATGCAAGATGAATAAGTCCTAGAGATCTACTATAGAGCATAATGTGTATATTCAATAATTCTGCATCACACACCTGAAAACTTCCTGAAGGGCAGATCTTATGTTGTGTTCTTATCACCAAATAACAATAAGTAAAGAAGATAGGTAGAAAATTTTGGAGGTGATGAATATGTTTATGGCATAGACTGTGGTGACCATTTGTTTTATGAATGTACACTTATCTCCAAACTCATCAAGTTGCATACATTAAATATGTACAGCATTTTGTATGTCAATCTTGCCTCAATAAAGTGCTTTAAAACAATATATACATATATGTATGTGTATATATATGTATGTATATATATGTATGTGTGTGTGCATATATATGTGCGTGTGTATATATATACATAATCGCCTACGCTATGTCACAAATAAAAGTTGAGCTTTTGGAAATTGATAAGTATTGGTACATTGCAATTTTTACTTAATTTAATAGTACCACTTAAAATAAATTTAAATTTGAATTTCAGAACAACATATATATACCCCGGGTTCTATTTAATAATCACACTGTCACATATTGATCAGTGAAAGCTTATATAAAATGAAAAACTGATATAAAAAGACATATAGCAAAACTACACCCTCCCTCTACTTTTTCTTCTAGGATGCCCTATAACAGCACAGCTTAAGGCACAAAAACCTTTCTTCAAGTTCTGACATTCCTAAAGTATAGGTATAATATGAATAACTTCATATATAAAATTAATGACCTCTTATTAAGTCATTTAATCCTAAAATACATATATCTACAACAATAATACATCGTATCTTTTAGGTATTTTTTGTGTTTTATCTCATGAATGAGATGTCAAGTCCTCATTTTTCTGTTTGATATATTCTGTATATTTAAAATATTATTAATTACTCTTGACTTCTTTATTTTAAAGGACAATTTGCCTTTACTATAAAATACTACAATTGAAAATATTTCTATTCAGGTAAATTGTGGCATTTTGAAGCAAATGAATAGCAAATCAGATTATATAGTTCCTAATAAGTAAAAGATGACTCTTTAAGAATACTAACATTTCAATTTTTGGTTACACTTTATTGATACATTTTCATGCATCAGTTGGTATTTTTAGTCATCTCTAAGGATGGTATAAGCCTAATGTAACACTAGATCGGCCTTTTACTAAAAGTTTCAAATAATTCAAGTGCACTTACCATGTTCCAGCCAGGATAGAGGTAGTCTGTACCAACAAATTCAAAGTAGTGAGCAAACCCTTCCTTCAGCCACACGTCTTCCCACCACACAGGCGTCACAAGGTCACCAAACCACTGCAGTAACAAAATTAATGGTCATCAAATAAAATAAAATCTATCCCCAAACTATTTTATCTAAAATTACATGTATTAAACTATGATTATTATAACTGGAATTCATTCCCCAGTTGATTTTGTGATCTTAAAATGTGTTGTGGCAAAACTGTATTGATTTATCTGAGTACTTGGGTGACACTAGTTTTTTTATACATGCTTTCAGAGAAGAACAAAAAAGAATAATCAATGAACACAAAAGAATATTTGACTTGGAGAAGAAAGGGCTCAGGAGAGAAAAACTGATGAGAGCTGTCTTCAAATATTTGAAGACCTATTACGTAGAAGAGGAAAGGCTTGTTTCTTGTGACCCTACAAGGGACAAACCAGGACTAATGAACGGAAATTAGCATGGGTAAATGTCTGCTGAAAACGCAGAAAACCCTCTAACAGACTGAGATGGCCAAAGATGGGAAAATACTTCCTTGAAAGGTAGTGAGCAGTTCATCACAGGAGGTATGTAAGCATCACCCTCTAGTGGCAGAGGCTATTCAGAGAAGATATTTGCTGATTGATAAAACTAAGGGTTTTTGAGGTCCCTCACCCTTGACTCTCCATGATTCTATTATAATAAGGATTTAAACCAAAAAAAATTCTCTAAGATGCCTTCATGAAAAATAATGTAATTTTAACAGGTGTTTTGATTAGATCATGATGTATTATTCTGAAACTTGCTTAGTTCAGGAAAACGTTAAAGGAATTCTTTTCTTATTAAAAAGCAAAAAATACATTATATGCCAGGAGCTAGCCTAAAGACGAGATTCAGTGAAGAAAAGTTAGATAATGTTCCTCCTCATGCAGCTGACATTTTATTGTAGAGGTAGGGGGGATGAGGGGAGGTAGACGATAAAAAAATAAATAAGCAAATGAACAACGCAATTTCAGATCCTAACAAACTGCTACAGGAATGAGGGAGGAACTGCTTTACATTGTAAAAGCAAAAACATTCTCTCTAAGCAAGTGACATTTGAGCTCAGACTTCCATGATAAGGGACAGCCAGCCATGAGAAAGGCTTGGGAAGGAGAATTCCAGGGAGATGTAATTAACCCTTAATGTGAAGACTCTAAGTGGGAATGAGCTATTTAAGCAACAGAAGAAAGACCTGTGCGGCTGGAACATAGTGGACCAGGAGGAGGAAAGCATGAAAGAGTCCAGAAAGGCAGACAAGTACCAGATCATGTATGGCTTTAGGAGCCACATTAACAAGCTTGGCTGACAGTTTCAATAGTAACAGTAAAGTATCTGTTCTTCAAGAGGATCTCTCATTGAAATACAAATAAAAACAGCTCTCAGTATGTTGAGGACCACAAAGTAAATGTTTAACTTTTAATAATTTTTTAAATAAAAAATGCATGTTTCTCCTTTAACTTGAAATCCTATCTTCAGAATTGTGACAACAAATAGGTGGGCAGGAAAGGTAACATAGAAATTAATTGGTTAATGACAACGGAAATTATTTTAAGTGTTTCTCCTAGCTTCTGGTTCATTACTCCATAGTAAGTGGCCTACAAATACTAAGCTATAACAAGAAAGTAACTTAGAATATGAAACAAATGAAATCCAGTTCTCCGAACAATTACACATTATCGGTGCGCTTTCACTTCCACAGAACTATATATCTAACTTGTCATTTATAGGAGCATTCAAAAAGGAAACTGCTTTTGTCTCAAATAATTACATGATATTCGGTCAAAACCATCCTCTTTAGTACAGACTAGGAGCCCCAGTCATCTCTGCAAAGGATCCCCCTTAAGCCTGAGATGAGGAACACACCTCAGAGATCTGGTCAACAAGGCAGATAAAAACATCAAACATCTTACAGGTTCAGTGCAAAAAACTGACATTTAGGGGCTGGGCACGGTGGCTCACGCCTGTAATCCCAGCACTTTGGGAGGTCGAGGGGGGTGGATCACCTGAGGTCAGGAAGTTCGAGACCAGCCTAGCCAAGATGGTGAAACCCCGTCTCTACTAAAAATATAAAAAATTAGCTGGGCATGGTGTGGGCACCTGTAGTCCCAGATACTTGGGAAGCTGAGGCAGGAGAATCACTTGAACCTGGGAGGCGAAGACTGCAGTGAGCCAAGATTGCACCACTGCACTCCAGCCTGGGTGACAGAGTGAGACTCAGTCTCAAAAAAAAAAAAAAAAAAAAAAAAAAAAAAAGCTGACATTTACATAGAACGGTCGTCTGACCCGGATCACTTCATCATTAAGTCAGTATTCATTTATCAGCATTTAACTGTTTACCTTCTTTCACTGACGGCATTTTTCACATCACTCTTTCCTTAGTTTTTTCAGCTTCTAACAAGGTGTGGGTTTTATAATTTATTGAAATCACACTGTATCACAATGAGATATCTGGTGTTATAAGTTTAAAGCTCCATAAATACTGGTAACCAGGACAGGTATCACTTTCTATTGGCATGGACGTCTATTTTCAGTGATTTTTTTCCACTAAAATTAAGATTCACATAAGCACTGCGAAATCTAATACCTTCCATTCATTGTGAGAAAATGCATAAAATCAAAATGAAATTAATTTTATCTTAGCTTCACTACAAAGTTGGCAAATTTACATATGAATTTCTAAACATGCCAAGACAAAAAATATCAATCATTTGAGAACAAAGAGTCTATGGCTGAGTTAGTGAAAGACTTCCTAAGTGTCTATGTGGTGGGAAAAGGGGAATAACAAATTGATTTCAGTCAAAGCAAATTTTGACACATACACAAAACTCAGCTGCATCTTGCAGCGATGCAATAAATCATTGCCATCACTGCACTTACCATATATACACACTAATAATCACAAGAAAATAAAGCAAGGTTGATAACTGACCAGATAGGGGCTCCAAAGAGGCTGCTGGGTGGCAGTGCCATCTCACTCTTCAACTAAATGGAATGACAGTTGCTTACTCAATACGATCAGTGTGTTTGTTTTTGTTTATTCTATGATTGGAGAAAAATGACATATCTTCCAGAAAGAACTACACAGTGCTCCATATAAAATTAAAACTTCTTTGGGAGGATAATAATTTAGCTCTTAATGTAGGTATTCAAAATCATTTTCAATAGCTTTCACATTATACTTACACCTGATTCTTTTTCTCATACCTGGTGACATATCTCATGAACAATGACCATGGTGACATCCAGCAAATAAGAAATAGATGAAACACTGGGATCCAGCAGTATTCTTTGTTCCACAAAAATACTTAGTCCCCAGTTCTCCATAGCAGCATACGGATGCTTAGGCACAGCTAAAAGATCTAGAAATAAAATAAAACAGTTCCAAAGGCTTTAACAAAGACACCAGATTCTGAATTTATATCCTAAAAAGTGTCCAGAAATCCTAATTATAAGGAATACTTGATTTTACTTAGTGATTTTTTTGGCAAATTAAACTACTTGCCATTTTTACATGACAGCAGAAATATAGGCTATCACTGCAAATGCTGGTCATATCCATTCATCACAGTTCATTTTCAAGCCCAGTGCTATAGGTAGCTGGAAGTATCAGTGCCATTATTGATGGGCCCATCCTAATAAATTTCATAAGTCAAGGAAACCACATGCAGCAGGAACCTACAGAGGCAAAGGCGTTGTGCCTTCTAATGAAAATATATTTGACTCAATGCAGTAAATACTATATTCTTACATTTACCCCAATATTGTATAAGAGAAAACATTTTATATCTGTTTTAAAATGTGATGTTTTCTAATTGCTTAAATTCTAGTGTATTTTTTCAGTTATGTTAAAAGAAATATGTTACATGAAATATATCTTACAGGGAAAGCTCTGATAGTGGATATAATGGAAAAAAAATATTATTGAGGGGACCCACAGGCTCTGGTCTGGCTCTGTCACCAACTGGCTATGCGACATTAGTAAATCACTTAATTTCTTAAGACCACAATTCCCTCACCTATGAAATAAGGTCATTAGCCTTAATTATCTCTAAAATGCCTTCCAGCTCCAAATATCTATGATTAGATGACTCTAAGATCTGTGCTTATTTTAAAAGGTCATAGAGGTGTTATCAACTTCTGGTTATGGTGACACAAAGAGTTCATGCTTCGATGTACTCCCTCTGCTCCAGAGACGTAGTGATGATAAATCAAATATTAAAAGGGAAAACTAAAAAACATCTCCAGGCTTAAAAATAAACCTCTCCCTGGACCAGAAATGGTACAGAAATGCAAAGTGGTGATTGCATGTGAAGCAACAGGCCTGCTGGGCACTGGCTCCAGCAACAGGCAGTGGCGGCTGGGAATTGGCCCTGGCAGATCCTTCCAAAGCCAAAAGGACCTAAGCCACGCTGACTACTTAATGCCAGGGATTGAGGTAGGGCACACATGCTCATGAAAACAGGTTGAAAATAGCTAGCGCTCCTTGCTTCCTGGGAAAGTCAGTAAGTGGCAGGGTAGAAATTTGAACCCAGCAGCCTGGTTCCAGCACCTGTGCTTTCAATCACAATGCCAAGCATAGTGTTTACAGTCTCTGACCCAGAAGTTCTACTTCTTGATATAACCCTGGGTTAACTCCCTACGATGCAACAGAAAATTGTACAAGAATGTTCGCTATGGTATTGTTTGTACAGGTGAAAAGAGAAAATTAAGTGCTTTTAAGCAAAGGACAAAGAAACTGAGAAATATGTATATAAAGGAATATTACACAGCAATCAAAACAATTGATCTCACCACTAGATTCTAACACTGCATACATCACATGGACAATCTGAGAAAGACAATGTCGAGGAAATAAGTGAAGAGCAAAATGACCCTATAATAACATCTACTATTTAAAAACAAGTAGAATAACACCATGTGTTGTAGATGGTTACTTATACATGAACACGTGCATAGAGACAGTAATGGCAAGATGCACACACAAACACACACATATAACAATGATAAACATTAAAGTCAGGATCATGATTGCTTCATGGAAGAATGGAGGGGAAAAGGATGGAAGACAGTCACACAGTGAATTAAATAGTGATGTTTTTAATAATAATATTTCACTGTTAGTGGTATGGGTACTGATTATAATATTACTGATTCTTTCCCATATGCTTTAAATATTTCAAAATAAGAGAAAGAATAAAATAGTCAACAGTCTTATAATAAGGTTGATTTTTCTTTATTCCTGACTTTAAAAATTATCTTCTCAGCATTGGTTGTGGGTATTTGTTGTTGTTTTTGTTTGTTTGAGATGGAGTCTCGCTCTGTCGCCCAGGCCAGAGTGCAGTGGTGCGATCTCGGCTCACCGCAACCTCCGCCTCCCGGGTTCAAGCGATTCTGTTGCCTCAGCCTCCCAAGTAGCTGGGATTACAGGCACGCGCCACCATGCCCAGCTAATTTTTGTATTTTTAGTAGAGATGGGGTTTCACCATATTGTCCAGGCTGGTCTTGAACTTCTGACCTCGTGATCCACCCACCTCGGCCTCCCAAAGTGCTAGGATTACAGGCCTGAGCCATCGCGCCTGGCTGGTTGTGGTCTTAAGTCTGAAATATATATTAAAATAAGTCAAATATGACCCCATCTTCCGCTACATTTTAGACTCAGCATAAGTGCATAACAGCTATAACACGAAAAAAAGGGAAATATGAGCAAATAGTTGAAGAATTAAGAGTGCTAAGAGAGAGAAAAAATAAATCTGATTGGGGAGGTTTTCAAAGAGATGGTACTTAAGTTGGACTTCAAAAGGTAAATAGGGAATTGAACAATGAGAACACATGGACACAGGAAGGGGAACATCGTATACCAGGGCCTGTTGTGGGGTGGGGGGAGTGGGGAGGGATAGCATTAGGAGATATACCTAATGTTAAATGACAAGTTAATGTGTGCAGCACACCAACATGGCACATGTATACATATGTAACAAACCTGCACGTTGTGCACATGTACCCTAAAACTTAAAGTATAATAATAAAAAAAGGTAAATAGGATATCAACGGGCAGAAACAGGTAATCTATGCATTCATATATACAACAAATACTCATTGAGCATCTCCTTTGCTCAATATAGACGCAGTTTTGCCTTGTTCTGCAAGCTCCTTGCTCTCTATCGTCATGGTGCTTACATGCATATGTGAGCGTGTGCAGGACGTCAATTAACAAGTAATAAATGAATGAGAAAATTAGTAAATGATAAATGCTACAAAGAAAATGTAACAGAGTAAGATAGTGATTGATCGATGGGGTGGGTGTGGTGTGGTCAAGGCAGCCCTCTCTAAGGTAGTCACATTTCATCTGAGATGTGAATAATGGTAGAGGCTAGCTTGTTTGAAATCAGAAGTGCATTCTAAGAGACGACAACAAATGCAAAGGCCCTAAGGTGAAAATGAGAGAAATATGCTTGACAAAGAAGGGTGATGTGGCTGAAATACATAAAGAGGAGGAACATAGATCAGAGAACTGGTATGAATTGTAAGTTCATAACCAATAGATATTATTTTATATAAGATTTTACCTTAACACCTTGTCTAAATATGAACAAACCAGATAACAGGACCACAGTGTGTCAACTTTGTCACCGGTAGATGGCAACAACAGTAGCAGGCCTGGTGTCATTTACTTGTAGCAACATGTGACTAAGGAACAAGCCTTCTGACCCAAGCCTGTGACAAAGTAGAGGCAATTCCATAAGCTGTAGTCCTCCAGAAGCCAAGAGTAGTCGGTCGTCAAGGCTAAGCTAGCATATCAAGCCACACATTGGGATTTGGATTGGCTCAAATAGCACAGGAAGAAGACTCTATACATATGAACCAGGTGCAGTCTAGGAGTTTGGAATAAAGAGGAAGGTAGACTTGGGGGCAGTTGTCAGATAGCAAAAGCCTGACTAACAGCATAAGCAGATATGGTGTGGAAACAATTGGAGGCCGGTGATAAAGATATCAGGCACTGGTGACCTAAGCAGGCAGCTGGTTACATACTGGTATCGAAAGGTATGAGGTCACAAAAGTCAGGCCTGGGTAACAAGATTACAGATCAACCAAACAAGGACTCTTCAGCAAATGGAGCCAGAGTCAAATTAAAATCATTAAAGAATAGAGTAAAACAGATCAGTAGTAGAGGACAGCTTCTTATATACACACAGGTTTTATAATAAATATGAGGAACCATGATTATAAACGGCAGAGTAGGGAAAAAATAAAGAAAACATTGTATGCTACTAACCTTATAACCGTGTATTGAAGCAACTTAGATTTTGTTGAAGCAACTATGGAGAAGTATTTTTAATTGTGGCTCTGTTCTATGTCTTCACAACTTAAGGAATCTTATATGATAGGTTTATAATTTAAGAGCACCTATATCAAGCATATATCTACACAAACATTTGTACACAAATATTCATAAAAGCCTATTTCCAGTAGCTAAAAACTAGGAACAACTCAAATGTCCATCAATAGGTGAATAAATAAAGTATGGTATATCCATGCAACAAAATACTACTCAGCAATAAAAAGAAATGAACTATGGTTACAGTCCACAACATGGTTGAATCTCAAAACAGTTATATGGAATAAAAAAAGAAGAAAGCTATATCTACTCTATGATTCATGCCATTTATGTAAAATTCCAGAAAATGCAAACTAATCTATAGAGTCAGAAAGCACATCAGAGGTTGCCTGGGGACAAAGATGGGAGGAGTTAGAAGATAGCGATGGGAAACTTTTGGGAGTGATGAATATGTTCATTATGGTGATAATTTCCTGTGTGTATACATGTGTTAAGGCACCAAACTGCATACTTTAAATATGGACAGCTTACTGTACATTACTGTACCTGAATGAAGCTAATAAAAAAAAAAGGAAGCTCAGTAACAAAAATATTCTTTTGTTTATTTAAGGCAGATAACATTAATTCACAACGAATTAAATTATTTTAATTTTTGCAAAAGAAATTTGTTATGAGACTATACCCATTAAAATGTATACCCATAACTCCTTCATATGCCTTGAAAACAGAAGAAAATTCAAATGTTTCAGAATCTAATTTACTTGGAAATTCAAAGAAAATGCTTGATAAAATTATGCATAGTAGTCTGCTTCCAATTAAATAGTATAGTACAAAAAACTATAGACAGATATGAAATAATTCATATAATACTAGTGAATGTGATAACATAAATTAACAAAAATCTGACTTGCTCTACTTGTTTGCCTCCTACTCACCCTCAATGCACTATAATTTGCCTTCTATTCTTAACACTATCCTGAAACAGCTCTGAATAACTAAATTCACAACTCTCATGGACACTTCCCAGAATTCATCATTTTTTTGGCATTGCTGAGAATTATCATATGGTAGGCTAGTGTCTATAATAACAGAATATCCATGTTTTTCCTCCACTTCTCAGATTAGCCCTTCTTCTTGTTTTGTTTTGCTTTGTTTTTCATTTTCTTGCCACTTTCTGACTTTTGAAAATCAAAGTTTCCAGGATTTACATCTGTGGCTTCTGTGTTGTTTTGTTTTACCAACTGCTATGGTTTAAATGTGTCCCCTCCAAAATTCATGTTGAAATGTAATCTCTGTGGGTCTCTTCTGCCATGTGAAGATACAACATTCATCCCCTCCGGAGAATGCAGCAACAAAGAGTCATCTTGAAAGCAGAGAGCAGACCCTACCAGACATCAAACCTGCCTGTGCCGTATCTTGGACTTCTCAGCCTCCAGAATTATAAGAAATAAATTTCTATTATCTGTAAATTACCCAGTCTCAGGTATTTGGTTATAGCAGCATAAATGGACTAAGACACTTACTCTACTACTTATTTTCTTTGAGTGTTTTCATCCACTTTAACATCATCCATCACCACCCACATGCCCAGACTGCTCTCTTTGAGCACTAGATGAAAATATCTAAGCATCTTGTAGTAGGCTGCCATTTGATAGGCCCCCAGTGTGCTGGGCCTCCTTGTGTAAGCCTCTCCCCTTTTAATCTGGCTTAATAGTACATACTAAAGGAAAGTTAAGAAAGCCTTGCAGCTTTTTGTTTTGCCCTCTAGGGAAAGTCAGCCCTCATAAAATAAAATGGCCCATTGCCCTGAGAACATCATGCAGGGAGAAACCTCACAACTTTGCAAAAGGTCCAAAGAATCACTAAATGAGGTCTGTTCAATAGTACATACTAACTGAAATCCAGTCTCCAGCATTAGTGAAAGTGTTGCCTTATTACCCTTCTGATGAATAATCTTGTAAGCTAGAAATGCACTCTAATATATTCCAAATTATTAAATAATCACTAACAAAAATGTGTGCAATAACAGTTCTCTCCTGTCTGCCACAGTCAGATTCTTATCTCACAGGTCATGATAATCAGTCCAGAATAAGATGCTTTGCCCCAGCTTTGAGCTCCTCTAAGCCCTGGCTCCAGTGTGAAAGAGTCTGGTATCCTCCAGCTCAAATATTCTCTGCTACATGATCAAGCTCACACTCCACACTCTAAGTGTGAGAAGAGTACAGGAGATGCTCTCTGATATGTGACCTCAGATAGTTATCAATTGTCCTACTTTCTCTCATACTTTTCCTTTTGCCTAAGCCATACTACCTACAGTACTGACTTTTCCTGGCAATATTTCTTCACCAGCCAATTTCTGCCTTCCAGTTGTCCACACTCAAACTTATCAGTTCATTCTAGATTTGTCATCCATTTATTTAGCTAATTTGAGATTCATAAGTCTATAATAAGATCAGAACCTGAATGCCCCAGACTTCAACCTTAATCCTGAGGGAAAAGGGATAGAAAGTTCTGGAAGACAAGAGTTTTAATGCTGAAGAAATAAATATCCTAGCAATTCAGGAGCATCACCTCAGCAGCCAATCCTTCCATGCCTAGGCAGAAAACAGACCTGCTGCTGAGCCCCTAGTGTAGTCAGGGGATGTGGCATTTTCCTGAAAAGCAGCACTGGTCTCTGATTGAATGTAAGATATTTTTGCTCAGAAAATCTAAAGTGCCATACATTAATATTAGAAGTTGTGGTTTCAGAACAGAATAAATTCTATAAATTTGTTCTTTCTGGTTTTCCTTGTACACATAAGGTACTTCTTTGAATTAGGCATTCATTCACTCACTCAGTAAAGTTTGTTGAGTCCTTACTCTGTTCCAGCAGAGAAGGAGACTAACAAAGATGCTGCTGTGTCCAAGCTCATGTTCCAGGTTTGAGGGGTTGGGGAGTGCAGGTAGGGCAGGGGGCCAAATAATACACAAATAGACAAATAGATAATATGAGACTGCAATTGGGGCTATCATGAAAATTACACATGGTATGTTAAAGAATAACAGAGTTGGAGGCAGAATACATTTGATCAAATGACCAGGAAAAGTTTAAGAAAATTAGTATCTAAGCGAAACATCAACCCAATCCAAGACAGGGCAGTTTTAATCTTAACTGTTCATTTGCAGTGCTAGCATAGTACCAAGCATATGGCTAATATTCAAAAGGTAACTGAAAAATAAATGAATAGTTACCTTTGATGGCAAGTCATGCTAAATATAGCTTACAACTAGTTTTGCCTGCAATCATAAGCCACACAGATGTATAACCACTACCAACACCACCCAGGAAAGGGCCTTAGGTTCAACAGCTCTGGTCATGAATTCCATGGTTTCACTCTGCCATGTAAAGAGCTCTGCGGCTCTTCTAAATCACCTCTCTACTCCTATGCAAAGTATCACTCAGATGCATTCCCTTCCGATTCACAGATGGGCTCTATGCCTATTGATTCTTCCAATCCAAAACCATCTTGTGCTCAAATCTGCAAGCTTCTGACCTAACTCTTACTTCTGTTTCCTGCCCCACTTCACTCTTTGAATTTCACCTTCAATGTTGTCACCAGGCTGTACTCTAGCAGCATCTCAATCACAATCCAAGTTATTTTTCCAGCTCTGCTTCTCAGATCTTCTTGGCAGAAGGCAATGGATATAATGTTTAAAGCTGCAAGTTGTGGAGTCCATACTGGGTTTGGGATCCAAACCCAAATTGTTTAGCCTCTCTCAGCTTTCACTTCCTTATTGATAACATGGGGATATTAACAGTACCCGCTTTGCAAGTTGCTGTGAAGATTAAATGAGTTATACCATGTAAAGCACTTAGTCCTACATAGTAAGCATGATAAATGTTATCACTATTTGAGATCTTTCCAGTTCTTCCCCACCTTGGGGAATTGAATGCATCATAGGCCTCAGGAAAGAGAGGAGGAGGAGTCTTATTTTCAAACAAAGATGAAGTTTAGGTTAATATGTTCCATTATAGATTTTAATTTTCAAATTGAAATTTTATATTATGATTTAAAACAACATAGATCCTACTTAAGATTGAGCCAACAAACATTATAGGATATGCTCATATTATCATCCAGGGACACTAATTTTAAAGGCATAGTAGGCTAAAAAAAAAAAAAAGTTGTATTTTGATTATACCATGACTGGTTGTTGCTCAAGACTGTCTATATGCATTTGTGTTTAAGAATAAAAAATGGAACATCTTGCTCTGAAGATTAATATATGGGGCTAGTAAAAATATAAACTACATTTAAAACAGTAATATTAATAAGATAAAATTTATAGAAGTAACCCATAACTAATATTTATAAAATGAGAACTACCATTCTTTTTCTTCCTTTCAAGGGTATATTCTCAAGATTTTTACTCATAAACCAGTTAGGTACTGAATGACTCTTTTTCAGTTTGTTTGACAAAGAAGTTAAACTTTGCTATCCTTAGATACATTCCTACCAAATTTAGGAGTCAGTCCTTCAAAGCTTTAAAGCAGAATACATTTTTCTCCTGATGGTCTTTTTATCTGGGCATCATTCATTTAAAGCAGACTAGTTTCAGCTACACATTGTGGGTTGTAACAGAACTTTCATCAGCACTACTTGTATTCAGAAGCTTAGCTTACAAGTTCTCGAACTTCTAGCATTCTCCTGAATTAGCATTAGGCCATAATAGGCAGCCAGTGTTTTTGCTGATCCTCCTGCCACACATTCAAAAGATTTTTTTTTCATTTCAGCAATCAATTTTCCTCGACATTTACTGATTACTGTCAATTGCAATGGAAGAACACTTTACATGTGTTGCTTGATTTCCTTTTTCCCTGAAAAAGGCTTTCTATGCCAAAGGATAGATCCCATATGCACAGGGAACATTTGTCAGTTTCTCACCCCTTTAATTTTTAAAATTAGTGCTACTTTGATTCTCACCATCATATTGTGCATTTTTTGTTGTGCGTCTAGTACTTACAAAATCAGTCTTTGCTTTAAGAAACATGACTAGGTATGAACACAGAAAAGACATTAAATGACCCCTTCTTGCCATCCACTGGTGACAGCCCAAGTTGACTAATACTTGTTATATAACAAAGATTTGCTGTTATCTCAGAGAATACAGGTTGAATGTAAGGTTCCTTCCTATTAAGGTTTCATTTACAGTGTATTTTCATTTATTCCAAAAATACTTGCTCATTACCTAATACTGGCCAGACTGATTTAGGCTGGGCATATAAACACTGAACAATAAAGACAAAGTCCCCTTAAATTTTCATGGAGCTTAAAAACCAATGGGGGTTACAAACAAGTCAAAAAGCATACATATTATAGACACACATGATGGCAATTACAATGCAGTGCATATGCTACAATGAGTGCACAGTATAATGGCTACAGCATAGAGCAGGGATTAAGAACATGAACTCAATTCTGCCCCAGCACATTACTGATCCTCTCTACCCATCATTTTCCTCACCTGTAAAATGAAGATGAATATAATTGCAACTATTTTGCAGGACTACTGTGAGTGTTATTGTTGAAACACAATTCTCAAGGGTCTCTTACATTTCTGTATATCTTATGAGAACAGGCACTGACTGCTTTTTGTTCCACACTTTCTTTT